>NT_187558.1:0-157952 GCF_000001405.40 Homo sapiens | reverse complement strand
CTCAGAGGAACATGTGACTATTCAATGTAACAGAGAAAAATCAGGACTTTTAACTAGCCTCGACAATTTAGGTTTTGCCCCTAAATACGTTCAGCCTGAGTCAGTTTTCGCTAGTGAATGGGTTTTGCTTGGCATTCAGATTTGTAAGTCAGAGTCCAGATTATACCAGGTCCAGATTATAACCTTCTCTGTGTTCTCGGTGAGAAACCAGGTGCTGGAGGCGTTAATCCATTTGCCCACTTCCACTCTGGCTAATGGCTGGCAGAGCCAGGATTCACCCCCAGATCTCCTGGGCCAGAGCCTGCTGTCCTGCCTGGGTGATGCGGCTGTGTCTGCCCATCGTCCTTGCAGGCCCTGCTTGGCCCTGCAGAATGACTGAGCAGCCAGCCTGTCCTTGGACGGGTCCCCACCCCAGAAGACTGGATGAGAACCAATGTGGCCAGCATGGTCTAGGAGGCGAGCGAGCGAGATCAGCTGGGGCAGGCCTTCAGTAGGCACAGGAATTAACCAGGACACACCCAGGCGGAGGCCACACCAGAATCCTGGGGTAGGGATTCCCTGGCAAGGGCTCTGTCCACACCCCTGCAATGTCAGGCAGCCTGGGCACCACTGCCCCGGGACAGCTGGACCAAAGAGGGGTGGCAGTGAGCCAAGCCTAGCTTGTCCAGATGGACAAAGCACTCCTAAGGTGGGCAAAGATGCCCCAGGTCCCAGGGGGCCCCACACTCTCCCTGAAGCTGCTCTGGGAGCTCCTGGCACAGAACTCCCACACCTCTTCAGTGTTGGTGTTGGAAAGCTGACCGGTCGGTGAGGGAGGTGGCGAGCTGCAGTTGCCTGCCAAGGGCCTGGTGGCCTTTGGAATCCACAAAGCCCTCCCTCTGCTCAGACCCTGCCTGTGCACACGAGGGGACTGTTGTGGAAGGCCACGCACAAAGTACTAGTTAATATTTAACAAGCTTGCTCACATGCACATCTCATCCTATCCTTGCATTGGTCCCACGCAGCGAGATCCCACTGGACAGATGGGGAAAATGAGCTGGAGAGAAGCTCATACGGACAGCGGCACTGGGGACTTTCTAACTTGCGTGCTGCTCCTCCCGAACGCCCTGGCTGGTGTGCACGGCTCTCTCATTCCTCTCCCTGCCAAGACGGACCCACCTGGAAGGTAAGCTGCCCGACAGACCCTGTGGAAGGTCCTCAGCCCCTCCCAGTGGAGCCCCCTCCTCTCCACACGGCCTGGCTGGCGTGCACGGCTCTGAAGTGCTCGTTCCTCCTCAGGATCGGGCACTGTGCGTGTGTGTCTCTTCCTGGGGCTGTCAGGTCCACAGAGGCAGCAGATCTCGTTGAGGCTGAACTCATCCTCAACTCCCCACCACCCAGAAAGGGGGTCTGACATGCAGGAGGTGCCAGTAAAATCTGCTGAATGGACAAACATGTTGATCAATGCATCGGATATTTCCTTAATGGCCATGCTCACTCTCAGGGGCAGAAGGGACGTTCTGGCTGTGGCTGTCTGCAGGACTGTTCCCCAGCACAGCTGAAAGCCCTCAGACCGCTGCAGGGGCAGGAGAAAGGCAGCGCTTTCACGGAGGGGGGCCTGGAGGGGGGCAGGGGTTCAGGTTACTCCCAGGCAGCATGGAGGGAAGAGGACTCCCAGCTTGTCCAGCTGATCTCTGTTATGAGGTGAGCTGATCAAGGGGTGGGGAGAGAGCTGCAAGTTCTGTCTCCCCATGACCAGGTGAGTGCCCAGCAAACAACTCAGCACCCGGCAGAGAGAGCCAGAAACAGCCCCGAAGAGCTCAGGAGAACCTACCTGCTGGCCTGAAAGGGGACACCTAAGTCCTGTGTCAGCAACTGGACAGAACCCCAGGCTGCTGGGACCCTTTCAGCACCAAGGTTGCTTCTGAGACACACATGAAGCTAATGCCTGGGACTGCTGGCCTCATCACACAGCGCAAAGAAAGCCCTGCCTTCAGGCTGTCATGGCCTCTGCACCTGCCCACAGCTGTGTGCACCCAGGCCCACTCCCTGCAATCCCCGGGGAGCAGCTGCTCCCACTAAAGGGCCTCAGCCCCGCCCTCACTACCTCTCCAAGCACTGGTGACAAATGGGACCTTCACAAACAATCGCCTACAAGCTGAGAACAATGGCACCAAACCTCCACGCTCAGAAGCTGCAGTGGCATATTTTCCTGAAATCAGCAACTGGATGCCCTTTTTTGTCCAATTCAGCAGATCCCAAAGTACCTGGAGATGTTGCCTTCAAACTCCTCCATCTGGGAGGCCCAGGCCTCCGTCCTGAGCCCTGCCTATGTCTCCTCAGTATGAAACTGCACAGCGCCTTGCTGAGGTCTGACGAAGGACGGCTTCAAAACCACAAGAAGCAGGCTCATGGCTGTCTCCCCACCCAGCCAGGGTCGTGTGTAGAAAAGCAGGAGAGTTCCATGCACACGCTTCCGGTGGAGGGGTCACCGCCGCCAGAGATACCCCTCTATTCCTCTACCCCAGGAGGGAAGGACTCTGTCATCCAGTTGGCACCCCCGGGACCACCCAGGTGAGGACGCAGAGCGCAGTGGACCGGCTGTCCAGGCGTCTCCCCGCTCATCGTGCGGCAGATCAGGAGCACATCCAGTGTGAGAGCACACGAGACGCGAGCCCTCTGTCCCTCCTCGCTGCCCGTGCAGATTGCTGCAGGAGGTGACGCTGCCGTAATGAGCAACGGCCTCCCAGACCTCTCTAACACATAGCCTGCCCCAGCAGCCCTGATGCCACACAGCCGGCACACAGACGGCCCTGAGTGCACCCAAGGACACCTACCCACGCTGGTGATCCTCTGGGAGCTGAGGTCGTGCAGCAGGGCCTCGATGGCCGGGTTGTGTCTGGAGTACAGCTCGTACCGGTTGATACCAATGTGGAACTTGAGCCAGTTGGGATAGGAGTCCACGGCCGCCTCCCCGGGGGAGAGGAATTCTGCACCTTCAGCACCCGCATGCGGCCTGCAGGGAGCAGCGAGGACGAACATCAGCATGGAAAGAACAGGCCCGTGAGTCGGATGACGGGGAGAGGGCACCGACGCCAGTGTTTTTAACTTTGGGTTCAAGCAAGTGCAGATGTGTTGAAGGCGCCTCTGCTTAAAGAGGGCCCTGCAACGTCTGCGCTTTCTTCTGTGGCCGCTCGGCTGCCAACTAATAACACGGTGAAAGGCCTGTAATTCTTACTCACCCTCTGGAGACACCACAGACAGCTCTAACTACAGCAAAACTAATTCCAGGACGTCAGCGCTGCCCTGCCATCCCCGCCACGTCTGTCCCAGGGTCACCGAAATGGCCCAACCATGACCTCAGCTGAGGGTGCGAGGGGCTGTGGCCCTCCCCTGGAGTAGAGGGGAGAACCTACCATTGACCACAGGCTGCATGAAACTCACAGACACGCCCAGTCTGTCAGGAACCTTCCCCAGCTCTCTGCTTTTGTTCCAACAACCAGGGGCACAATGATGCAAGAGGCTAAATTTGATTTTAATGAGAGCAGCCTTGGGTGGGGAGAGAGGAAGGAGGCAGCACTCTCTCCAGCCCAGGCTCCCATGGAGGACCCGCCGCCCACGCAGCCTGTCCTCACATCTCTGGGGTCAAGGGACCGTTCTGGAGGAGGGACAGACCCTCCGTCTGCCTGCTGGGCTGGAGGGAAACGCGGAACTTGTCCTAGCTCGAATTCACCTAAAGCTGAGGTGCTTTCTGCCGAAGCTCTGTCCTGCGGTGGACACGGGGGCGGGGTGGGGGGCTAGGATACACTTCCTGGCCACTCGCTGCTCTGGGCGGCCGTCTCTCCCTGCCGAGAGCCACAGCCCAGGCCAATGCTCTGGTTCTCAAATTTCCAAGCATTTCCTTGAACCTGACCAGCAGGCAAGGCTCAGAGGCTTCCAAACAGCCAGTGTGTTTAGACAGAAGACACTGGGCCTGGACATTTCAGGGAAGAAGGGACTTTCAACCAGATCTTTTGGAAGGCTGGTCTCCCCCTCTGCTGCTGGGGTAACCTTCGGCAGGTAGTTACTTATTCTGGCCTTGTCGTGGTTAATGTTCCACTGCTTCGGTGTAGCATCTGCTTGTTTTGATCTGTGTGGCGGAGGGAGGGGCCGGGGGGTGGGGAAAGGGCTTAGCCAGGACAGTTTAAAGAGAGGTTCCTGCCGTGGCTTCTCGCCCTTTATCGAGCCATCATCTCTTTGCAGCCAGCACACCCACCGCCCTTGCTGGCTGGGCCGCCTTGTTGCACCTCACGGCTGCCAGCAAGCCCCTCTGATAATTCTGCTCCAGCCACTGGGTTTAAAAGACTCAATAGGCACATCCAGACCTTCTCCAAGGTGCCCACCCAGAGCACCCTCGCCAAGTGTCTGAAAGCCCAGCGGCAGCCTGGCTCCTTCCCTCACCAACTCATTCATTCATTGCCTGACCCCATTTCCCAAGCTGGTGACCACGGCTGGTCAGGACTCGCTTCTAAAGGGCGCGGGGTCTGGCTTCCTCACCAGCAGCCACAGGGCACAGCTCCCGGACCAGCCGGCAGCCCCTCCCAAGGAGGAGGTTATTCTGGAGACAAAGGCAGCGCCCTGAGGTAGGCGGCTGCCTCCTCCCGCACCACACTCCCTGCCCGGCCTCTTCCATGGGGGGCGGCCCTCTGGGGCCCCTGAACCTCTCTACACCATGCCTTGGGCTCACGGCTCCCTTGGGGGTGGGCACCTGCCAGCCCCCACTCACCAGTCCGGGTTCTCCGCCGCTTTGGGGCTGAGCCTGGTGTCGCTGTTCACATTGAACAGGACGTCCTCCTCCGTGAGCGGCGGAACCGCCACCCGGTAAAGCGGGTGCTCGAACAGCCTGGCCAGGAGGGAGGCGTCTCCGCCGGGGCCGGGGGGCGACTCGGACCGACGCGGGCCGGGGTCTCGCAGCAGCGGCCGGTGCGCGGGGTCGTGGGGTCTTAGGGCGCCGGGATCCCGCCCCCGCAAGGCGCGCTCGGCCGGCTCGGCCGCGGGCGGCAGTTTCTCCAGCGAGTGGGACGAGAGGTTGGAGGAGGGGTCGGAGCTGAAGTCCTGCAGGATGCGGAGCGTGTGCTTGTTGGGCCAGCCCGCGTCGCCGGCGGCGGAGGAGGCGGCCGGGGGCTCCCCGGGGCGGCCCCGAACCTGGGCCCAGCCGGGCGCGGCCACCTCGGCGGCGGGCTGCGCGCACGAACAGCCGGGCTCCCCCGAGGGCCGCGCGCCGCGTCGCTCCAGCCTGGGCAGCAGGTCCAGGGCGATGTGCAGCGCGCAGGCCACCAGGAACACCATCAGGATGAGCACGCGGAACCGGCGCACCAGCATCATCTTCATGGCCGCGCGGGCCGGCCCGGGCCTGGAGCGCGTTCTGCCCGCGCGCCCCTCTAGCTGCAGCTGGGCACGAGCGCGGCGCCGCCTCGCGGGTCAAGGTCCATCGGTGCCGGGCGGCTACCAGCTCCGGGGCTGTCCCCGGGCCCGGGCCGCGTGCAGGGCGCCCGCCGCCGGAGCGCTGGGTCCCCGCGCCATCTCGGGCCCGTCCCCGCTCGGCCTCTCCGGAGCGGCCGCGCCCTCAGCCGGGGAGCCCAGGGGTCCTGGTCCGCGGAGCCGGGCGCGCGGGGGGCGGCTGGGGCCGCAGCAGGGGGAGGCTCGGCGCTCGCAGCCGCCGGCGCGGGGCTCATCGGGCGTGTGGGTCCATCCCGGCCGGGGCGCGACGGGCCTGGGCGGTGGCGGCGGCCGCAGGCGTCCCGATCCTCAGCGCGCTCCTCTCCAGGCGCCGGGCGGGCGGGCGGGGAAGGGGCGGCTCCTCCGGGCCGGGCTCTGCTCTCACGCCGCGCCCGGGAGACCGGGGCTGGGGGGAAGGGGGGGGCGAAGGGCGGAAGGGGTGGGCGCGGGGAGCGGCCGGCGGGGTCCCGGGCAGGTGCAGCGGCCGCCCCGAGCGCAGCTCCCGCCTGGCCGAGCCTCTCGGCGCCCCGCGTCCCGGGCGGGCAGATATCGAGCGCCGCGGAGCCGCCCCCCGCGTCAGCGCCCACAGATTGGCGGAGCCGCCGCCCCACGAGTCACGGCTGGGCCCGGGCCGGCTGCGCTCCCGCTCTCCTTCCTCCTCCCCTCGGCCGCGCCCCGCGACGCCTCTGAGCTCCGGGCCCGCTAAGGAGAGGGCTCCTCCTGCCCGCGGTTTGCAGAGGGAAGCGGCGGAGACCGGGAGGGCGCGCTCGGTTCTGGCCAGGCCAGCAGCTGCGGCCGAGTGGGGGGCTCCGGCCTGGCCGCTTCCTGGGACCCCCTCCCGCCCGGGGCCGCCGCCGCCAGCTGCAGCCTCTCGGCTCCTCCCCAGAGGAGCGCGGGGCCGGGGCCCAGGCCAAGTCCCTCCCCGGAGCCGCGGGGCGTCTGCGCCGCCGGATGAGCTCCCCGCCGGGCGGCGACCCCGTGCCCCACGCCCGTCTCGGCAAGGAGGAGGCGGAGGCGGCCCCGCGAGAGAGGCCCAAGGAGCGACTGGGCCTGGACCCAGGGGACGCCAGGGCAGCGGAGCTCCCGGCACCGGTCCCGTCCCCCCCCCCCCGCCCACCCGCGGGACGCGCCCGCCTTAACCCTCCAGGCGCCGGGCCCGCTGGGGGCGCTGAGAGGGGCTGGTGTGCCGGGGGCGCCTTCCTGCTTGGGGCCGACGGGGGTGTGTGAGTGCAGGCGTGTGCGTGTGTGTGCGCATGTGTGTGTGTGGATGTGCGTGTGCGTGTGTATGCCTGTGTGTGTTTGTGTGTGCGTCTGTGTGCATGTGTGTGTGCACATGCATGTGTGTTCACGTGAGTGCATCTCATCTGTCACCCACAACCAGGGGAGCGGTGCTTGTACAACCAGCTGGTGGCTTCTGCAACCAGCAGCTTCTGGCCGTGCAGCTCCCTGTAGGGAATATGAGTTAATCTGGATGTCAGCCTAAGATGTAGTCAGGGAGGTAAGTGTGTGGGAGGAGGCCACATCCCCTGTGCCTCAAGCCGGCTGCTTCCACAGTGCCCAGACTGCCTGGGCCAGCAGCCTCGCCAGCAAGCCCAGGCGGGTGGGCCGGGAGCAGGGCCTGGGCCCCCCCTCTTACTTTCACCGGCTGGCTGTGTTACCAGGGCCCTCTCCGCCCTCTCTGAGCCTCAGTTTCCTCTGATGTGAATTAAGGGCGTTGAGCCCATTGTTCCTGAGGAATCACTCATCTCTGAGCCTGGCCCATTGCCTGGCATTCCGTGGGCACCCACTAGATACTTATAAGGGGAGAAGTTGTTCCAGTCCGGCTGGCCAGTGGAATCCATGCGTCTTGGGCCATTTGAAGTGAGTGAAGGGCTGGGTGCGGCCCACCTGGAGCTGGACTGGAGGCTGTGTTGGGTGGGGCGGTGTGACCTGGAGGTGGGCTGCCCCCTCAGGAGACAGCTTCACCCCTGTGAGTGGACCTCATCCTTCCTTCCTTCCACTCACATGGACAGCACATCTGTGTGTAGACAGGGTCACTGAGAGAGGCCAAGGAGGGTGAGGAGGAAGATCCCGGGTGTGGGGGGAGTCCTGGGGGAGCAGACAGCAGGGACAGAAGCCTGTGGCAGGAAGGAAGGTCTTGGCCTGTGTTCTCCCAGCAAGGGTCCCCTTGGACTTGGAGTTCTATAGGCTCCTGGCCCCCCCATCTCTCCCGTGGTCTACAGGACCTCGACGCAGAGCTGTGGCTAGTGTCTTGGGGCAGACATGGGGCTGAGCAGACCCCATGGAACACTATTATCCGGTGTGGGGGGCCTCATGGAGGTTCCCTGGGCACTTACTTTCACTTGCCTCCTGCCCCCAACTCCTCTCCCCTCCCATCCTCACCCCCAGAGTGGTTTTTGGGAGCCCGGCAGCTATCTGGACCCGTGTGCACCCCTGGACGCCTCCCTCCCTCGCAGAGGGTCCTGGTTCATCTCGTCTGTTGCCTCTTAGAACAGTGGCCTCTACCTCGCCAGGTCCTTCAGAAGCGCCCCCCTCCCTGCCCCGCCACTGTTTTCCCAACAGCACCCGCCGTGGTCTGAGGACACTTTCTTCTGCTCCTGTTTATTGTTTATCTCCCCCAAGCACAAGCAGTCGAGTTAAGACAGGAGCCTCGTTCAAAGTTCCGCCCGGGGCCAGGCACAGCGCAGGCTCTCAGAGGAGGGCCCAGGAGTCCACAGGCTGCGGCGGCGCGAGACAAAAGTCGGAAGACAGGACCCCGCTGAGGAGTGAGGAGACAGCGGCCAACCCTCCGCCAGACCCTTCCGCCTGGTGCCTTTACTGGGCTCTGAGGAGGAATTTGGTGGTTCAGTCGGCCCATCCGTGGACACCATAAAAACAAAGAGAAAACAGACACACACAGATGCACACATAGATACACACAGATACACACAGACACGGATATATAGACACACACAGATACACACACGTGGACACAGACACACACATAGACACAGATATATAGACACACACAGATACACACACGTGGACACAAACACACACAGACATACCCATAGTTACGGATATATGCATGGATACACAATACACAGACACACAGATGATACATGCATAGACAGATATATGGACACACACACACGGACACACAGATACACACATAGACACATAGACAGACACAGATACAGACACAGGCACATGTAGACACACATGGACATACAATACTCAGATGAACACAGAGATAATATACACATAGACACAGATCTATAGATACACAAAGACATACACACAGATATACATAGATGCACACATAGACACAGATACACATGTCATCACACATGGACACACACAGACACACACCAATACACACATAGACATACGAAGACACAGGTACACAGACACGTATACACACAGACACGCATATATACATACAGACGCAGATATACACACAGACACAGACATACACACACACACAGACACAGATATACACAGATACATGGACAGATACACATTCACATACACACATAGATACACAGAAACACACAGACACACAGACACATAGAGACACACACACAGCCACACAGGCCCTGAGCCTCCCTGGGCCCTCCCTTGTGCAGAGGCGGAGGGGCTGGCTGTCGGGGAGGGCACCTGGAGAGGACACACAGCCCCATCAGAGACCAGGGAGTGGCTCTGGGAGCTCTTTTCGTCCAAAGGGGCTGGAGCTCCAGTTAGCCAAGGTGAGCGCCAGGTGGTGACAGGAATGACATAGGAAAATAAGACGGCCCGGGCAGGGAGGGCTGCCTGCTCTGGGTGTGAGGGGATTGCTGTCTTAGACCACGTGGCCCAGGAAGGCCTCCAGGCATGGCTTTGCACAGAAGCTGGTACCTGAGGGCTCAGCCCCGTGGAGGCCTGCGGGGTGGAAATGCCAAGGCTGGGGCAGGGGCATGTCTGACCCTCTGCGGGGAGAGAAGGCCTGTGAGGTGGGCATTGTGTGAGGGGCCAAGTGGCCTCTGTAAGGTCTGCAGGTGGGGCCAGGCTGTGGGCTGCGTCCTGAGTGAGGGGGCCGTGGGAAGGCTGGGGACAGAGGGACGACGCTGGGTCTTGGGTCGGGAGAGGCTCACCTAGGGGCCGGGTGGATGGGTCTAAGGAGGGCTAAGGGCGGGGCAGGGAGAGCAGCTGTGTGGTGAGGACGAAGGGAGGTCGGCCAGAGCCCCCGGGGAAGGGCTGTTGTCATGTGGATGAGCTGGGAATTAGGAAAGCTTGTGGATTGCGAGGCCTCAGTATGCAAAGCCCTGGGACAGACGGGCCCCCCAGGAATGAGGGGGGCAGACGGGCTCCCCAGGAATGAGGGGGGCAGACGGGCTCCCCAGGAATGAGGGGGACAGATGGGATCCCCAGGAATGAGGGGGGACAGATGGGTCCCCCAGGAATGGGGGGGGCAGACAGGCTCCCCAGGAATGAGGGGGGCAGACGGGCTCCCCAGGAATGAGGGGGGCAGACGGGCTTCCCAGGAATGAGGGGGACAGATGGGCTCCCCAGGATAAGGGGGGACAGAAGACCCCAGGCCTGAGGACCAGGCCTGCCCCCTGGCACCACCAGACACCAGGAGGGCACTGCTGCTCTTAATTGAAAGTCTTGGTGCAGGTGAGGGCGTGGAGGATTCCTGGGGGAAGCTTCGTGCTGCAAGGTGGAAAAGACAGATAACAAGAGAAAAACAGAAGCTTAATAGCATGTATACCTTGGTCTGCAAGGGACGGACTCGGGACAGGCTATGTCGCAAAGGCGTGGCTTGGAGCTCAGCCTTAAAGACCATGTTCGACGGAAACAAAGAGAAAGAGTGTGTGGGGAGGGGCCCAAGAAATTACCCCAAACTGGGGTCAGGCCTTCTCCATGGATGAGCGTCTCCGGTGACTTACAGGCGGCCTTCTGGCCCAGAGAGGGGGCACCCTGGTGAGCGCAGATGCCTGTACGGATGTGACTTTCTCTCATAGAACAGCAGCTTCCACTCTTGTTTTCAGAATTTCTCCTGTGGTTGCAGTTTCTCAAAATAAGCAGCTCAAAATAATGCTTATGCCAAAGAGGCATATTTTGGGGTGGCATATTCTGGTCTGCTCTACGTGGAAGCGGACAGAAAAATGGGGCAGAGGCCAGGGAGGGGAGCGGGACCGACTTCCAGTTCCCAGACCCGAGCAAGGGAACCTGAGGCCGAGCTCTGGAGCTTGGGGTCTGGAAGGGGTTCTCTGAGGACACTCTGGGAGTGGGGGAACAGCTGCCTCCTCAGGTTTCCCCCAAGGGATCCTGCCTGGGGAGACCTGGACTGGGCAAGGCTTGGCAGCTGCCCTGCCAGGAGGAGGGAGACGGCTGCAGTGGGGGGGTGCAGGGTCGCTGGGGTCCCACCCGGGGGTGCTGGGACCGGCCAGAGGACACTGCGATTTCCCAATGGGCCAGGAAGGAAGGAGGCGCTTTCCAGGCAGAGCATGACCCCGCACAGGAGGCAGAGACAGAGTCTCTGAGTGTCCCCGTCAGGTCCCTGGGACTGTGGCAGGGGAAGAAGCCGCAGTACCTCCTGCCCTTTAGGACAGGAGAGGTTGTCGTCCCAGCGTTGCCCAGCAGCTGGTTGGAGCCCAGGGCTCCTCAGATGAGCCAGCGCCTGAGCCCTGAGCTGCCAGCTGGCCTGGCTGGAGCCGCCACTGATCTTCCCAGGAGAAAGAGGCCGCCGTGCGTAAGTAGCGAGGTATAAGAGGACGTGTAGAGCCGTGTCGCTCGCGCAAGAAGGGGAAAGAAGGAAGCCTGTCTGCATGGCTGCGCAGGGGATATTGGAACAGAACTGAAGGAACTCATGCAACGCTTCTCTGTGAAGGGGGCACCGCGATGTATGGACAAGGGTGGGAAAGGGATGCTGGGCCATAAAGTTTGGGGTGCGTGATGGTGTGGAGGAGAAAGCCCTCCTGGGAGCTGTGGCCAGGGAGTGTGCAGTCCACGAGCAGATGGAGCTTTATGTGCCTCCCACCTCCTCCCAGGGGCCCCCCACGACTCGCTGAGGCCCCATCAGCAACAGGATGACGGGTTTTCTTTCCCACACAGATCGGGGACGTCCCAGCCTCCTGAGGTGGGGCAGAGGCGGGCACCGCAGCCCAAGAGCTGGCTTTCCCCCTGCACCTCCACCCATGCGTTGGCCTGGAGTGGCCCAGCGGAGGGTCCAGGTGGGGGTGCTGGAGGGGCCCACCCAGCTCAGGCCTGGCACCTGCACCTTTCTGGATCCCACGATGTTTTGCTGAGGGTTACTCATCCAAGACCTGCCCGGAGGCTCCGAGCTGTTTACCACAGGCCAGCTCTGGCCGTAGCCTATTCTGGGAGCCTGGGGGTGCTGGGAGGAGGCTGGGGCTCTGGGTGGCAGGAGGAGGAGAGCCGTCTTGTCCTTACTGAGCGTCCAGCGGGCGCCAGATGCTGCGCCGCGTGCAATTCTAATCCTGGCCGGCAAAGCCAGAACGGGACAATATTCCTTCCTCCCCAGGCCTCCCGCTTGGCTGTGGGTGCTGACGGGCAATGGGCCTGGCTATCGGGGCTCACAGGGGAGCCGGGAGAGCCGCTAGCAGGAGAAAATGTGAGCTCTGCATCTGCTGGGCTGGGTTCGGGGGACGCGGGGTGGCTGGGGAGGGTCGTGCTCGTCCCTCCGGCTGCTGTCGCTGGCCCGCCGGCCAGTCCGCCCCAACGCTGGACTCCTGGGCTATCCGTTCCCCACCCACCGTCTGAGGGTCTTTGAAAATAGAACTCATTCGTTTTCATTAAAAGCAACCGATCAAGAAGCCGAAAACACAAGAATAAAACAATGTAAAAGCTTGACTTTATTTTGTATCCGTCAAACACAGGACTCACAGTCCGTTACACATGGAGCATTCGCAACACTGATCATGTTCTGATGGTCACACAATGTCGGGAAATTCCAAAAGGCAGATAATCTAGAGTCTGTTCACGGCATCCACACACACACACCGGTGCACAGGCACACGAGCACACAGTCTACAGATTGTTCGTAGACACAGTGTGGTATAATGAACAAAAGCTGGCTTTAAAAATAGTTCTACCTGGGCCCGGTGCGGTGGCTCACGCCTGTAATCCCAGCGCTTTGGGAGGCCGAGGCGGGTGGATCACCAGAGGTCAGGAGTTCGAGACCAGCCTGACCAACATGGAGAAATCCCGTCTCTACTAAAAATACAAAAATTAGCCGGGTATGGTGGCGCATGCCTGTAATCCCAGCTACTCGGGAGGCAGAGGTGGGAGAATCGCTTGAACCTGGTAGGTGGAGGTTGCAGTGAGCCAAGATCACGCCACTGCACTCCAGCCTGGGCAACAAGAGAGAAACTCTGTCTCAAAAAAAACAAAAATTAGTTAGAAGGAAGTGGGTCAGATGTGGCCCCTACGGCCTCTCAAACATAGAATTCTTAGTTCTCTACCAAGAAACTACTTAAAGCAATGACCAGACTTCCAGGCCTACATATTAGTTATATGAAAGAGTCCAAAAAAAGTCCAGGGGCTGGGCTCACAGGGGCTCACACCTGTCATCCCAGCACTTTCAGAGGCCTAGGTGGGTGGACTGATTGAGCTAGGAGTTCGAGAGCAGCTGAGGAAACAGAGGGAGACCCCATCTCTACAAAAAATAAAAACATGAGCCGGGCGTGGTGGTGCGTGCCTGTAGTCCCAGCTTCTCAGGGGGCTGAGGTGGGAGGATCTCCTGAGCCCAGGAAACCGAGGCTGCAGTGAGCGGTGATCACACCACCGCAGCCCGGCCCGAGCAACAGCTGGACCCTGTCTCAATAAAAACCCAAAAATCAAAACAGCCAGACCTCTGCTTTCTGACCCTCGTGGGCCCTGTGAGGCCGCAGCCTGAGGGAGAAGATGCCCAGGGCTGGGACAGCCGCACCAAGTTCCTGCCGGAGTCGGGGAGGCCAATCCTGCCGGGGGCCCCGGAGAAGGCAGAGCAGAGGGCACAGCACCCAGGGATTCAGCCGGCCCCGCGTCCTGGGGATGCTACCTGACGGGGTGCTCTGTGCCCTAAGGGGCCCTTGAAGGCAAGGGGATGGGCTGCAGGCCACCGAGCCCCAAAGCCACATCCCCAGACCAGACAGCCCGAGGAACTGGAGGAGGAGGGAGGAGCTGGCCCCACAGCAGACGGCACTTGGCGTGGCCGCAAGCTGGGCCGGCCTTAGCACTTTGCACGCAGAGTCTCAGTGAGTCTTTGCTACAAAGCACACGTTGCTATTATTGTGGTCACTATTTTTACAGAGAAACTTGACCTCTTCGCCAGCCTCACCCATTCAGCCCTATGCTGGGTTTAAGCCATCTTGGAATTCTGGACACTTAGGAACAAGAAGCCCACATCTGCTTCCCAGGGTCCTGCCCTTCCCTGGGGGTCCCCGTGCTGGAGGCAGCAGTTGGGGTGTGGGAAGGAAAGGCCAGCGCTGTGGGAGGGGCTGGGCTGAGGGTGGGCTTGGAGCCAGCACATGGGGGCTAGGTCCGGCTTGTCCCTCACCAGCCAGACGGCACTGGGCATGTCAGGGAATCTCTCAGAGCTCAGTTTCCTGCTGTGGGAGGGAGCTGCTGGCTCTCACCTTGTTGTGAGGACTAAACTAGCTGCCATCTGTGGCCTGCTAGTCATGGGGCTCTGGTCCTCTTGTCACTGGATCTTGGCCTTGACCTCCCCTTCTCTCTCGTGAAGCTGTCGGCTGCGTGGAGACACAGCCACTTCAGTCCTCTCATAAGCCTATGCCCAGCATCTGCCAGGGGCCAGGTCCTGGGCTAGTAACCTGGCACTGGGAGCCCAGGCTCCGCTCTTGTCCAGGGGAAGCTGCAGCCTTGGGAAAAGCAGGTGGGAGACGCAGATTCTAAGTACCTGACCGAGGGACGCCTCGAGGACGTGAGGGAGGCCGGGCACCATCCGTGGAGGGGCCCTGTGAGCGGGCCCAGCAGATAGACAGGGAGCACCTCCATGGAGGAGACAGAGAACCCCTGTGAGGGCCCCGTGGCTTCTGCAGCTCCCGGTGCTGGCTGTGGGTGGTTTGCCGGTCGGCCTGCCTGTAGTTCTCAGTGGCCGCTCGGAAACACGTCCTTTCTTATGAAGACGCAGACGTCACAGCCGAGTTGAAAGGAATCTGAAGAGGATTTGGGTGCTCCTCTGTCACAGCCTAGATCATCGCGAGGCCACGGCCCCCCAGGACAGAGGGGCCCGGGGAGGGTGGGGACAGGAATTGAAGACATGATCAATTAAATCGTCTCCTTCCTCCAATAGGTAGAGTATGATCCTGTGTCCATCAACACTTCCTAACGTGCATGTAGAAGCTAAAATTGTTAAGATTTGCGAAATACTTTTACCTCGAAGTTGGCAGTGACATCATTCTGTTTTTTCCTGGGTGCGGAGGAGTAATTTCAGAAGGAGACATTTTGTAAAATTAAAAGGTATTCACCAAATATTTCATGCATGAGTGTAATCTACAGGTTTGGTGATTAGGGATGAAAACGCATACATTAGACAAAAAAGATTGGATATTTAGAAGCAAATTTGAGATTCAAGTGAGGATAAATTACAGGGAACCTCTTATCAGAGCCCGTACATGCCTGGGTCTGGAGTGAAAGCCTCGGGCTACGGCCTCAGGTGTGGAGGAGGTGGGGTTCTCTCTCCTATTCAGCCTCCCCTTCCTCCTGGGGAAGCTGCTGTGCTGTCGCTGGGGCTGGGCCATTGACTCCCTGTACCCCACCAACCCCACCACCAAAGGGGTCAGTTCAGGCTCCAGCTCCCCCTCCCTCCCCAGCTGTCGGTGCGAGCCCAGCTGTGCCTGCCCTTGGTCCCCACAGGCTCTGTCCTCCGAACACCAGGCTCTGTGTGGGCCCTGGGAGTCCTGGCCCGAGGGGTCTCCCCCTGGGGAGCGCTTGGGAGGGAAAATCCTGCTCTCAGGGTCTCTGAGTCCAACCAAGACAAAACCTGCTCTTCTCAACAGAGGCATGAGCTCCTCCTTCCTGGCAACCTGGGGGATCACAAAGACAGACGGCACCTCCCCAGGCACCTGCGCCTGTGTCCGACGGCAAAGCCATTGTCAAGCGAACCTGATGCTGTCACTGGTCACCCGGAGCCCATCAGCATGTTGACCCGGGGCCCATCAGCATGTTGAAGGCACTTTCTTGCTGTTACAGGGGAGGAACTGCTAAAGAGGCCACCAGACACAGAACACAGTGATAGTTTTAGGTGTAAAATTATTGCACACAGATAAATTCTGGAAACAGCTGCCTAGAAAGTTCTTTATATTGGAAAGTGTGCTTTGAGGTCATTATGCCGGATTTTATGGCCATTTCTTGGCTGAGCCCCGGGATGGCTTATGTCTTTGCAGAAAGGCATCATCACATTTTATGAATGACAGATGGCTTTTACCACACCTTTGCATGATCGCTTATGGTAATAGGACTGCGGTGCCCTGAGACGTGGGGATCTGCGTGAGTGCCCCCGGCAAAGTCTGCTCTTCCGGCCTCGAATCTGGATCCCAGGTGAGGCCTGAGGATTTTATTTCTTCCTCTGATCTCCCTGCCGGCGGGGCCACTGTGGCAGGACAATTCGGGGCCCCGCCCCCCAGATGTGCAGGTGCAGGCCAGTCTCGGGGGGATCGGCGGCTCCCGGGGGGCTGTGTCGGGGGGATCGGCGGCTCCCGGGGGGCTGTGGGATGGTTCCTCTGTCCCAGGGCTCCCGCACGGGAGGGCTTTGCACGTCCACCCCTCCTTTCCTTGGCTAAAGCCTGTTCTTACCAGAAGGTGAAATGAAGACGATTCCTTTTGTTCGGTCCCCTCCACTCCTAAACTCTGTCTAGAGCAGGGGTGGGCTCCCTCCTTGTCTGTGCCGCCCACTCGCCTCCTCGCCTCCTGTCGCCTCCACTCCTGACCCCCATCCAGAGTGTGGGATGCTGGGTTGCCGGTGACCATGGGGAGCCGTAAGGTGAGGGAACCCAGCTGGAGACCAGGGCCCACACCAAATCGTGAGCCTGTTTTTGAAGCTACTGAATGGGTGGAACTTGACTGTTCAGGGGACCCTGGAGGACTCACTCCTTTCCACCTGTGTCTCTGCTGGGTCTCACCTGGCGCCCCTGGCGATACCTGGCTCTGCAGTGGAGCAGTCACCACCGCACCCTCCCCGTAGCTCCATCCCCACGCGTCCAGGATAGCGTGGCCGCTGGTCAGCTGCCGACAGCACACATAAGAAGTCATGGATGGGTCCGAGCGGCTTCCAGGACTCAGCACCCAAAGCAGCCCCGTCCTGACGGTAACAAGCCTGCCCCATGGGGCGAGGCCCTCTCCCCTCTTCCTCAGATTCACCCAACCCACTTCTGTCTGTCAAGAGCAGGCTTGAGGAACAGTCAAGCTTGAGTTCTCTTGGCCTTTCCTGGACATCTGTCCTGAGGCTGCTCTCATTTAAGCCTCACGGAGGAAACCCAAGTTTCTGCAGCAGGAGAGGGGCGTGACCCCAGGGACAGCCGGAGAAGACGGTGTAGAACCAGCTGTCACGGAGCCTGATGTCCGGCCTGGAGCATCAGCCCATCACCTTCAGAGTGGACCCGAGGGCCTCACCTGCCACCTGGGGGACAGGTGAGAGGCGGCCAAGGACCCCAGACGATGAGGGGCAGAGTGTCTGCACTTGTCACCAAAGGCTTCCAGGGAAAAGCGGGGATGTGTGGACAGGAAGGGGCCGGCGGGTGGGATCAGGGCACTGGGCGAGCCAGCTTCCAGTTATGGGGGCTGCGGGCAGGGGAAACTCGAGCCCCTTGCGGCTCCAGCCTTGCCAGGGAGCCCGAGAGCTGGGCTGGCACGCCGCTCTGTGAAGGGCTGGACGGTGTGCTTCAGGCCTCGAGGTCACTCTGCCTCTGGTGCAAACGCTCACCTCTGCCGCTGTGGCCCAGAGCAGCCTTCGACCCACGTGATGAGTGTGTGTGGCTGTGTCCCCACATCTCCTTGTTTATGGATGCTAAAATTTGAATTTCCTATAAGTTTCACATGTCACAAAATAGTCTCTTGATTTTCCAACTATTTAAAGATATAAACATCATTTTTAGCCCTCTGTTGGACAAAAACAGAGGCTGACTTGGGCCCTAGAGCTGTAACTTCTACCTCTGCCTTAGATGACTCTTTTTAAAGCATTCTAGCTGGGCCTGGTGGTTCCCACCTGTGGTCCCAGCTACTCAGGAGGCTGAGGCACGAGGACCTCTGGGTCTGAGAGTTCGAGGCTGTAGTCAGCCGTGACTGCACCCAGCCTGGGTGACAGAGCGAGACCCTCTCTCAGTAACTAAATAAATAAAAGACAAAAAGAGGTAATTTTGTCTGGATATTGTAAATATAGGCTATTTCATGAAGTTTCAATTTATTCACACTTTTTAAAGCGCACTGTGTTGCAGCAGGACTCATACCTGCTGTGTAGCTCAGAGTTTGTGAGTTTCCTCCTGGACTTGGAGACAGCTCACGTCAGTCCAGCCCCGGCCAGGCGATGGACAAGGCCGGCTCTCCTAGGTGGCCCTAATATCCGACTCTCTAGCTCACTCCACTCAAAGCACCCGGGACGGCCCCTCTTGTGGCGGGGGAGCCCCCAGGGAGGCTGAGGCCGAGGGGGCGGGTGCCAGCTGTTGCCCAGCTCCATGTGTGAGAGGCGTGGATTCTCCAGGTCAGGTCCGCTCCAACAGACCATTCCACAAGGAGCTGGTGTGACCTCCGAAGCAGGGTCCTGGCAGGAGGGGTGTACACGCAGGGCTGGCCCTCCCTGGGGTCCCCCTGACGTGGGCGCTCCTGGGTCTGGGAATGTGGGTTTGCTTCCCCCAAGGGATCTGTTCTGTCTCCTCCCCTGCCTCCCTCCCTCCTCAGGGTGGGCTTCAGGCAGCAATCAGCTGCCCAGGGCCTGCCTGACCTCCACCCCCTGCACCAGGGACCTGGGGCTCCGGGGCCCACTAGGCACAGAGGCTCTCCAGCCGGGCCGTGGCCTGCCCCCTCCTCCAGTGTGGACCCTCCGGACAGCTCATCCCCCCGCAGGCCCCTCCATTTGGAGGCCCAGGCTGCTGTCTGCAGGGGCAATGGTCTGTGATGCCAGTTTTAAAGTACAGGATTACAGAAATCCTAAAATGTGGATTATTTCTGACCATCAGAAACCACACAAGCTACATTTGCTGAAATCCTATTGCTCTCAAGGGCTGTGGAAGAGACATAACCCGAACCTCAACCCTAACCTGGGAAGACCCAACTGCGACCCATACAGGGCTCTGGGGACCCGAGGCCTTGGTTCGTGCCGGCCACTCGCCTAGTGCTCCCTCCAACCACCCTTCCTGGAAAACTCTTACCCACCCTTCAGGAGCCTCGTCAGATATCACCACGCCTGTGAGCCCTCCTTGATGGGTTTGCTTCTCCTCCTCCCGGGCGGCCCCACGGCAGCTTGGCCATCTCACACCTCATCCTGGGCCAGAGGCCTTGAGAGCTGGGACTGCCTCACCCTCCCCTGTTGTCCCAGCCCACAGCCGGCGTTGCAGAGGGCCCGGCTCTCCCTCCCACTGTTCCCCGCTGCCTCTGGACCGTGTTCTCCCTGTCTCCTGCCCTGTCTCTCCCTCCGCTCCTCGAGGCACACATCAGCTCAGCCCCGCCTAAGCTCCTTCCCAAGGACAGCTTTGGGACCTCTTGTCCCAACCAAATAAACCCTGAGAGCAGCCAGCTACCACTTCCTGCCGCTGCGGCTTCATCTGGGACAGAAGAGTCCACGGAAGCAGCTTCTCTTTTCTTGGACTCCGGCAAAGGGGTCACTTGAGGCTGCAGCTGGAGCCGGTGTCCCCGAGGAGTCGCCGGGGAAGGTGCTTCCCAGCAGATCTTGGGATCACTGTCAGGAGCTTGAGAGGAGCCAACAGCGGCTAAAACAGCGATTTCTACAAACGTCACAATTCAGCAACAGGCCTGCTTCTGCCAACACTCGGGCGGCCGCTGCTGTTCCTGCCTGGGTCCGTTTTCCTTTAGACGCATCGTCCGGTCCGCACGAATCTAACAACCCTGACGGTTGCAATCTGCCGTGGGAGATGGAGCTTCTTACCTGTAAAATATTAGTGCTTAAAACCACAGCTGTGGGACTGGTGTGTAATTCCAGCTGCCGCTGCCCACCTGTCATCACGGAATTCGGAGATCACGTCTTTCCCTCCGCATCTGGACTCTACCTTTCGGCTGCCTCTGGTCTGGGGGCCCCTCACGAGGGATCCAGACACAGTGGGCAGAGGCGACGTCAGAGCGGCTGCCCCCGCAAGACACCTCCTGGAGGCCTGAAGCCTCGCGGTTCTTAGACGGGCACACGGGGACCTGGGAGTGAGCGTTTGCTGAGCGCCTGCTGTGGGCCTGTGCCCGGCCTCTACTCACTGTCGCACGGCAGCAAGACTCCCCGCAGGCGGGTGATCGCGTCCCACCTAAGGCGAGGAAACAGGCTGGAGGACACGAATCGGGGGTGCGATGCGGCCCCAGAGCCCGCCACCTCTTGCAGCATGGAGGGGCCTGCATGCAGAGACCACACCGTGGCGGAGGCCGCATCTGGGGCCGTGAGGGGACAAGCCCAGCTGCACCATCCTCCTGTACTTCCTCCTTTTGAGTCTGGCCTTCGGGAGGGAGGACAGTGGATACCAGGCCTCAGCATCTTCTCGGTTAAACCGAGGAGAGACCACGTCGGGGTTTCTGCCCGTTTCTACAATCCGAGCAGGACGCTGCCTTCCCGACCTCACACTGAAGTGCACAGTCCCCTCCTCACCACTGTGGCTTCAGGGACGTGGTCGGCATTCCCTCTGTGTGGCCTGCTCGTCCTGGCTCCGCGTGAGGGTTCCATCCCTGAGCCCGGTACTGCAGGACGCCCCAAGCAGCGGAGGGAAAGGCCAGTGGTCCTGGCCCACGGGGAGCCTGGGGTCTCTGCCTTTGCGAGCTCTGGGGCTGGAAGCCTTGGTTTCCTCCTCCATGCACAGGAGCACACAGGGAGCCTGGGGTCTCTGCCTTTGCGAGCTCTGGGGCTGGAAGCCTTGGTTTCCTCCTCCATGCACAGGAGCACACAGGGAGCCTGGGGTCTCTGCCTTTGCGAGCTCCGGGGCTGGAAGCCTTGGTTTCCTCCTCCATGCACAGGAGCACACAGGGAGCCTGGGGTCTCTGCGTTTGCGAGCTCCGGGGCTGGAAGCCTTGGTTTCCTCCTCCATGCACAGGAGCACAGAGGGAGCCTGGGGTCTCTGCGTTTGTGAGCTCCGGGGCTGGAAGCCTTGGTTTCCTCCTCCATGCACAGGAGCACACAGGGAGCCTGGGGTCTCTGCCTTTGCGAGCTCCGGGGCTGGAAGCCTTGGTTTCCTCCTCCATGCACAGGAGCACACAGGGAGCCTGGGGTCTCTGCCTTTGCGAGCTCCGGGGCTGGAAGCCTTGGTTTCCTCCTCCATGCACAGGAGCACACAGGGAGCCTGGGGTCTCTGCCTTTGCGAGCTCTGGGGCTGGAAGCCTTGGTTTCCTCCTCCATGCACAGGAGGAGATGCACATGGTGCAAGACAGGTAACCAGGCCTGCGAAGAGTGGCTGCCTCTAAGGTGCTCAGTATCGGGGACCGGCTGAGGGAGGGACGTGGTCGGTGTAGCAGGGCAGGAGCCAAGACGCCTTGTGCAGGAGGAGTTCCCTGGGAAGTGGAGAGAAGGTTTAGAAAGTGAGGAAAAGGCCAGAGGCAGCAGGTTGAGTGTGTCCAGTAACCACAGGGCCTTGGGCAGGACACCCCGTGATGTCAGCCAGGCCTCGGCGGTGCCCTGGGGAGGGAAGGAGCTCGGGGAGGTGGTCACAGACCTCCGCTGAAGGGGGAGGGCTCTGCTCACCACGAGCTCACACACACGCGCATATGGGTCGGCCTGTCCGGCTTATGGAGAACAGCCAAGCCGGGGGCAGCAGTTCCCACCCCTCAGATCACCTGATCCGGCCCAAGGATGAGGCACTGGTTTCCTACCACAGGCACCAGTGGATTTCTTTTCCCAACAGAGCTTGGATGTGGCCAACCAACTGCTCAGCCCACACGCAAGGCTGCTGTTGCGGATGGACCAGATCTGGGGTGATAGCTGGAGCCAACCTACGCGTCAGCTGCACCCCTGAGCCCACGCCCCACCCACCCTGAACAGCTGAAGTCAGTTTTCAAAGCAGGATTCACTGCCTCCCACCTCCCTGCACCTCAGGGAACTGTTTCAGACCCTGGTGGGACCTACCCCGTGGGCCACAGCCTCACACCCGTCCTGGGGCTGGGAGCTGGCAGCATCTCCGGGACACCAAGGAGCCCCCTGACGTGGATGTGGATGAGCTTCAGCTGAATGAGGCGTCCTCCCAGGGCCGGCCAGGTCACCCAACTGACTAAAGTGTGGGGCGGTGGCCGACTTCGTGGTGCTGGCTGTGCTGCTGAGTTGCTGTGGAACCCTTTAACCTTTCTGTGCTACTGTTTTCAATATTTTGAGTGACCCGAACGATTATGCAATGTAAGGTATCATTATTGTAAGAAATTGCATCATTATTGCCCTCCTCCAGGCTGAGAGAGGAAACCTGAAGAAGGCCAGATAGGCTGTTCCCAGTCTTGCCCACCTGAGGGGCAGGACTTACTCACCAGCCTGGGCCTTTCAAGACCTATCAGCCAGCAGCAACGATGGAGAGCCCAAAGGCAGGGTGCAGGGCAGGGAGGTGTGCAGTTGTGTGTCTGGGCAAGCGTGCATGCACAGGTGTATACATACCTGTATCCGTGTGTGGCCATATACACGTACATATATAGACACACCAAACACACAAACGTGCATACATGCCTGTACATATATGTGCCCATATACATATGCATGCACACACTTGCCAATCGCACATGTGTATGCACGTGCACACACACACGTACATGTAAGCAAATGTGCACATGCATGTACCTCACATGCACACACGTGTTTGTGTGTGTACACATACACTGTATTCATATGTGTTCATGTAAACACAGGTGTGTGCATGCCTGTGCACACGCACACACACACAGCCACACACACACAGCCACACACTCCCTTCTTCAGCAGGAACCATGATGCAGATCTTCTGCATACCCATAAGCTAAGCGGGCAGCGCCGGCAGAATCAGATGCCGCAGGCAGCGCCGGGGACTGGTGCAGAGCCTGCCATGGGAATAACATGGAAGAGACAAAATCTAAACACACCCCCATCTCCAAAGCACCCCACACACTCACAGAGGCAGGGTCTTCCTGCTGGCTCCGCTGTTCGGACTGGGGCTGACACCAGGCTCCCCGGGCTCCCAGCCTCACCCACGTGTCCTTCTTCATGACTGTAGCTTGCAACAAAGTCCTTTAGTCTGTTTCTTCACGATTCTCTCCCTGAAACACGGAACTCAAGAAGAAAACGCAGTTTTCGCACCTGAAGACAGAAGTATGACCGCAAGCCTTGAGCTGCATCTCGCATTAAAAAATCAAGGCCCAGATGCAAGGAGACTTCAGCTCAGGGGATGGGGGTAGTTGGCAGCTTCCTCCCACGTGCCGCAGGCGGTGGCCCTCAGCCACGCTGAAGACCCCTGCCCCTCTCTATGGTCCTGGGGGCTGGGAATGCCTCTTGGCGGAGAGGGGCTACAGCAGGAAGCAGCGGTGGTGGTGCATGTACGGGAAAAATGAGAGATGCCGAGACTTTTGCCAATGCAAACCTCTCTGCATCCTCAAGGCCTGTTCCTCCCAGAGCTGGGACTCGTGGCCACCAAGCGCTGGGGTCCTGTTCACCCTGTCCTGGCCCCGCCCTGCCGTACCTTTCTTGCTGACACTAATGGCCTCCCAGGGGTGCTTCTTGGCCCCTCTGCAGGGGAAGGACAGCTCAGGGGAGCGGCGAGGTGGGGTCGTGCCGGGCACACCCAGACGTCTGATCGCCACGCTGGCTCCGGCCAGCACAGGCGGCATGAGGCCCACAGAGTGCCTGGAAGAAGCCCCACACAGCATTGCCAGGTGGAAAATGCAGGGCCCAGTGCCCAAAAAAGACCAAGCAAAGTTATTAGGCCTCAAGCACCTTTCCAGCTTTCCTCTTAAAAAAAAAAAAAGGCAGAAACTTTCTCTCTAGGCCAAGGATAAATTAGCTAAGGACAAATGCAGCCCAATGATCATTTATCATCACAAGCCTGGAGAGGATCCTGGGAGTCCTGTCCTGGCCTCAGGACTCAAGGGCAGAAGCTGCTGCTTTCCTTCATTATTTCTATTTTTAACAACTGCGTTCAGGCTTCCTGCAAAAATAGCAAGAGGTGAGGCCATTTCAAGCACTAACATGCTCCCCTTTTGTCAGAAAACCCCAGGATGCAGGAAAAAGCGGCCAGGACTTCAGCAGTGTGGCACCAGCGGAGCTGAAATGGTCCTTCGCTATGCCCTGATCCCTCGCCCAGCAGTACAGGGGGTAAACTGAGGCCAGAGAGGGCAGGCAGGTGCCCAGGCTCATTCAGTAACTGAGACCCCAGAACACTGGGTGCTGCCCCCTCTGAAATGCAGGGCCGGGTGGCCAGGGCCTGGCTTCCCTTGGTTGACAGCGGGACCTGGTCCCTGCCTGGCAGAGGAGCTGTGAGGGCAGAGCCCCTGCCGCTAGGCATCCCACTTCTCTGCTGTCCACCGTCGCCAATGCACCTGCCTCAGCAGACCCTGAGTTCGTGTGCGTCACCTGGCCCCGCAGAAGCTGGGCATGCTCAGTGTCCCACCACAGGGAAATCAGGACGTGTCCCTTTGGAAGGCAGCTAAGGGGTGCAGAAAGGGTTTGGGAACCTCCTTCGTGCATACCTGTGTGTACCTGTACATGTGGATGTATGCACATGTGTATGTACAAATATACGTGTGAGTGTGCATACACGTGTGCGTGTATGTGTGTGTGTACATGGGTCAGTGCATGTCTGAATGTGCACAGCCACTCCCTCGAGGCCCAGGGAATGGGGCCTCTTTTAAAAGGGCCAGAAGCTCCAGCTAGCTGCCTGCTCCTCCCCACCCAGGGTGCTAGGCATGGGCCCCCCATTCTGAGGGGCTGCACTGAGACTGAGACAACCCTGGACCCAGGCCTTGCCTCTCTACACTGGAGTAACTCAGAGAAGGTGACAGCCAAAATTCACTCCTGGTCTGCCAGGCACCAGGAGGCCCTCGCACACCGCTGCCTCTCCCTGGCATGCATGGAGCCTGGGGTCCCTAACCCTAACCCTAACCCTAACCCTAAGGGTCTTGTTGCACGTCACCTGCTGAGTGTGGCTCGGGAGTGTGGGTCTCAGAGCAGGAGGGGCCCTCTTTGGAATTCACCCTCTGCGAGGCTTCCACGCCGGCCGGCCTCCTCTTGGTGGCTTGCTGTGTCTGGGCCCTGGCCTAGCCCTGTGGTGACCTCATGCTGGGAGTGCAGAGCCTCCCTCAGAGCCCCGGGCCCCATGGCCCCTGGAGAACCTCCTGCTCCTCAGCGATGGGTCCTGGAGAGTCCACAACTCCACTCCGAAACCAGATCCCGGAATCTGAAATCAAGCTCACCGGACCAGTGTGTCCAAACTGCCCCTAAATCCTGTGGCCGTGCCCCTTCCCGACAGACGCCCCGTTAGCTCCCGCTGCAGGCAGGCAGCCAGCGTTCCTGAGGCCTCAGGCTGTCCTCTCTCCGCTCACAGCAGACTCCCCACTCCCTTCCTCGCCCCTCTGTGGGCAAACCAGGCGGCTCAACCCATCCCGTGTTCATTAACTCCCTCGTCTACAGCCCCTGGGGTGGGCTGGCCCAGCCGAGAGAAGGTTCCCTGCGGAGGTCCCTGCCCCATCTGTGGACACAGTGCTGAGACCCCCTCGCAGTCCTCAGAGAACCCAAGCTTCGGCACTGGCAGCGCGGGGCGGGTCCTGTCCTCCGAGAGCCTCAGCTGGACTGGGCTGACCTGGGCCCTCTCCCTCCGCACTGGGCTGACCTGGGCCCTCTCCCTCCGCACTGGGCTGACCTGGGCCCTCTCCCCCCGGACTGGGCTGACCTGGGCCCTCTCTCCCCGGACTGGGCTGACCTGGGCCCTCTCCCCCCGGACTGGGCTGACCTGGGCCCTCTCCCCCCGGACTGGGCTGACCTGGGCCCTCTCCCCCCGCACTGGGCTGACCTGGGCCCTCTCCCCCCGCACTGGGCTGACCTGGGCCCTCTCCCCCCGCACTGGGCTGACCTGGGCCCTCTCCCCCCGCACTGGGCTGACCTGGGCCCTCTCCCCCCGGACTGGGCTGACCTGGGCCCTCTCCCCCCGCACTGGGCTGACCTGGGCCCTCTCCCCCCGCACTGGGCTGACCTGGGCCCTCTCCCCCCGCACTGGGCTGACCTGGGCCCTCTCCCCCCGAACTGGGCTGACCTGGGCCCTCTCCCTCTGAACTGGGCTGACCTGGGCCGTCTCCCCAGCTCCTCTGACCCGCTCTTGTCAATAGGTGTTTTTCAGGCTTCCTGGTTTGCTAAGGGCCCGCATCCCTCTCCTCACTCCCCTCGTGAAGCCAGTGTCACAGATAGGCTGGAGTGGGCTGCCTGAGAGGAGCTGGCCCCCTTCTCCGCACGTACCTCCAGCTTGCCCCAGGGACCCTCATGGCAGCTGGACGTTCCCACGAACACGAAGTGTCCCCCACTCTCCAGGAAGGGCCCAGGTACCCTCTGTTCTCCAGATCTCACTGGCTCTGCTCCCTCCAGAGGGAGCTTACAGAGAGCAGAGTCTGAGGCCCTTGATGCCAGGATGGTGGGGGTCCCGGGGTGGCTGCGGCTCCTCCAGCCCCAGAACTGTGTCTGGTGTGGTGTTCCACTGAGCAGGGTTTGCAGGCCTGTATAGAATTCCAGGAGCAAGCCCTTGGCCTCCTAGCCCCTGTGCCCCACCCAATACCTCCCACTTGTCCCCATGTGCGTCTCAACCTTGTGTCCAGGCTGGACCCTCACGCGGGAGCTGAGCCCTCCAGGGGCCCTCCCCTGTCTGCACGTGCAGGTGCTGCGCCCGGCTCCGTGCAGATGCTGTGCCCAGCCCTCTACTCTCCGCAGTGTCCAACACAGAACTGAAGCGTGCCCCAGCAGAAAACGCAGATGACCGCATATTGAGATTTTTTAAAATTTCTGTGAATGTAGCTTTTAAAAAGCACCTGAAAGTAAAATGATCATTTCTCAACATAATATTAGTCAAAGAAGTTACTGAGTACCTTCTTGGAACTTGAAATATCCTCCTGAAGACAGGAAGCCAGAGGCAGGAGAGGAGGTGTGAGCCGTGGGGCTCTGGACCTGAGAGAGCTCCCCCTGGAAAGCAGTGAGAGAAGGGTGCAGGCTTGCAGTGAGAAAAGGGCTGCCCTGCAGCGCCGTGGCCCTGGGCTTGTGCGTCCACACGCAGGCACTCCGGGCGCCCTTTGCGCCCAGGACACGGAGGGGAGGGGACACGGCCTTCCGTGTGGGTGTCGGGGAGGAGGCCGGGGTGGCCACAGGTGGGCGTGCGCTGCTGCAATGAAACCAGCCGTGTTGAGTGGCTACACTGGAGAGAGCTGCTTCCCAGACAAGGGGAGCCGGGAGGGGGGTCGGGGAGCCGGGAGGGGGTCGGGGAGCCGGGAGGGGGTCGGGGAGCCGGGAGGGGGTCGGGCAGCCTCAGGACGGCCAACCCCTAACTGTGAAGGAGGTGGTTGTACAGGCCCTTGATGGGGACAGCTTCAAACGCTGCTGTCCCACGCACAGAGCTGAGACTTTATGTAAATTGCGAGATGGCAGCAGTGCCCGTAACGGCGGTTTTCCTTGTCTGTTGCTGCTCAGCAGATGACCCTGGCCTGGATCCTGAACAACAGGACGACTTTTTTCTGTGGCCGGGCGGCCTCTCCCGACTGCGTGGTCTCCAAGCTCACTCGCATGGCGGCTGGTGGGATTCTCTCCTGGGGCTGCCGGCACTGCCTGGGGTTCCTGCTGCATGCGCCTCTCCGTGGGGCCCCTCACTTCTGGATACTCCCCAGAGGACGCCAGCAAAAGGGTAAGACAGGCCACAGGTGTCCCAGCCTCAGCCCAGGGGAGGCAAGGCAGCCTCAGGCCACCCCCGGGACAGGCTGCATGGGGTGGACACCAGGACATGGGCTCACATGGCCGACATGCACATGGTCTGCCATGCGCCCCAGATGCCCACTGATGGCAGAGCGGGTGCACAGCCTGTGGGGTACACACAGGAGAATCTGGACAGGAGTGAGAAGTGAGGACCCCGCCACTCTGACATAGCTACGACAGGACTTGTCTCAGCCATGATGCTGAGACCAAAGGGCGGACCCAAAGAGGACCTGTCCATGTTCCGTTTGTAGAAAATCCTACAGCAGCCGAACCAATCCACAGTGTCAGATTCAGAGCAGCATCAGCGAGAGGAAGGGGGTGGTGGATACTGACGAACCAACCCTTGCGGGTCCTGTCAGCGCCCAGCGAGTCACCGGCTCTGTCTCTCGCCCCTCCTGAGAGACCCCAAAGGTCTCATCTGAAGTAGGTGTTTGTGGCCTTGTAAATCTGCTCAGCCTCTTTGGAAATCAAGACTCACAAGTGATTCACTCTCACCAACTCGACAAGGCCATTATTCGATGGAAGAAACAAGAGACAAAAATAACAAGAAGAAGACAAACTTCCATTTCTAAAGGCATTTGTGGTATTGCCTGTAAAAGTATTTAAATTGGGAATCAAGAGAGTGTTTTCAGCATTTGAAGGATGGATGGTGAATAGTGATTTAGGAAATTAACGCAATATGTACAATTATTGGCAATGACGTTTTCAAAGTGACAGATCTTGAGAAGACAGTGCCGATTGTAAGTTAAAACCGTGTTCTATGTGCACTAAGATGGAAACCATGCGGAATACGTCCCCGTGAGTACTTCAAGGGATGCAGATCTGTGTGAAATAAAAAGAATGTGTAGAAGTAACGGTCTATGGGTGTGTGGCTTCCGCAAGTCTCTCTAACAACAAGAGAGCTTTTGCTCACAGAGGAGATGTAGGGCGTCAGGGCCCCGCTGAGTGGGCAGGAGCCACCGGGCTGGGTGTGCAGGATCCAGGCGGACCGTGGTGCAGGGAAGCAGGGCCCAGTCTTGGAAGAAAACAGAGTCCAGGGCTGGAGGGAGCTGAGGTCGGGCGCCCGGGCTGAGGAGGGGCTGGCAGGTTCCACTCCAGCCCCCTGCCCAGATTCATCACCATCCGAGAAACCAAGATCAGTGACGTCAACATTCTCCCAAGATGATGCTGGAGAAACTAATTATGGAGAAAAAAATGTTAAGAGAATGGAAAACCAGGTGTGTGCATGAACGTGTTTTTACCTTTGAATCAATTGTGATCCGAGAGCCTGATGTCTGGAGTGCCGTCTGGGGGACAGGACCCCCGGCCTTCCTTCCACCGTCCTGGCCGTCACTTAACCAGGGTCTTGACGGCAAGAAACAAATCACCCACTGGTTCATTTTACAGCTCATTAGGCAGGCACAGCAGACACCCATTACCGCCTTTGGCATTAAGGAGATTTTGAGATGGAGGCACTGCGAATGACGCTGGGATTAGCAAAGGTCAGAGCGAACATTAATGGAATTCTCATCCGCACAGAGTAAGTGGATCCATTTCCTGGTAATGGTGTGGGAGCTATTAAAGCAAGGTTGGAACCCACACAACGAGGAGATGGCAGATCCGGGCAGGACCGAGGCCTCTGCCTAATGCACTGGTCTCTACCGCCTGGGGAGGCCCTCCGGAGGGGAGGGATGCCTGTGTTCCCCGGGCGCTGGGGCACAGGCGGACCTGATGGTGCTGTTTCCAGCAAAGGCTCCACCTAACGATTTCCCCAGCAGGGTCTTGAGCTGAGGCAGAGAGTAGCTCAGGTCCATTTTTCCTTTGAAATGATCCTTGTGACTTTTAACGTGGAAATGCTTTAGATTCACTGGATTATATATATAGATAGAGAGAGAGAGAAATGACTCACTTTGTCACCCAGGCTGGAGTGCAGTGGTGCGATCACATCTCACTGCGGCCTTGACCTCTCGGGCGCAAGCGATCCTGCCACCGTGTCTCGCTACGTTTTAATTTTTTGTACAGGTGAGGTCTCACTACGCTGCCCAGGCTGGCCATAAAGACCTGGGTTCAACAATCTGCCCACCTTGACCTCCAAAACTGCCGGGATTACAGGCATGAGCCACCACCACACCTGGCCTGGTACATATAAATTTTTTTCATTTTGAAGACCTGCAAATAAAATTGAACAAAACCTCAAAATGCAGCTGCTGTGAGGGTTTTGAGGTGGGGGTTGGCAGAATCCTCCATCAAGCCTCTCACCAGACCTCGGGCAGCAGGGACATCCCTGCAGCTGTGTGGGATCTGAGGGGCCCTGGTGAGACCTTGTACTGTGGGGAGTTCCAGCTGTCCCTTTAGACGGAGACACCCAGCCAACAAGGGGACTCACACACGCGTTTCCTCAAAGTGGACGCCCACTTGGGGAGGGCGGCTTGGCTACCAGCACCTCCTTCCATGGTGAAGAGCACGCGCGGTCAGAGACGGATCCGCCAGGGACACGGACCCTCCAGGAGACGGATCTACTAGGGACACGGATCCACCAGGGACACGGACCCTCCAGGAGACGGATCCACCAGGGACATGGACCCTCCAGGGACATGGACCCTCCAGGAGACGGATCCACCAGGGACACGGACCCTCCAGGGACACGGACCCTCCAGGGACACCCCAACCCCAGCCGGACTGAGGATGCCCATGGGACTCTGGCCAGGGCCTCTGCAGCAGCTGCCCCGAGGTCAGGACTTGGTCCACACTGCCAGTTTCTCTGATTGTTTACCACCACCCTCCCCACATCACTCCCACCTCAGGCCCAGCCAGAGAAGCCACGGGTGCTCCTCTAGCCTGACGTGTAGGACGGCCGGCTGCCGGCAGCCTGGAGCTCCCCCACCCGCTGGACACAGTGACGTTTGGCCCCGAGGCCACCGGAGGCTCCTGTGCAGAGCCTGTGTTTGCTCCCATTGCAGGCCTTTGTGTATCTCTGCCTGCCCCATATGTCTGGTCATAGATGACAGAGGCTCCATACCTCAGCATCCATCAGAGGTGGCACCACCCTCAGACTTAGACAAGGCGCTCAGGGAGGGCAGAGCTGATGTTCCCTTTCTGTGTGTTTGTGTTCTCCTTTCTCAGGGGCTATCCTGGAGTCGCAGTAGAACTGGACACAATACAATCGAGAGGTGGGGTCCTGGTGCTCGCTGTCCTTGTGGGAACACTGTAAAAGCATCTGGCTGCTGATCAGACGAAAGTGCACAGCAGGCAAGGAAGCTCCTAGCACGGTAGAAGCTCATTCTCCACGTTGAGAGACGTGAATAGAGCCTGTTCCTCACACAGGTGCTGACTTGGAGCTTGTGATGTGTGTGGTCAGGACGCAGCACCTCCCGCTGGGCCACCGCAGCCCTCACGAGGTCCCTCTCGGGATGAGCTTCGTGTCTGCCTTGGGGGCCTCGGGGGCTCTGACACGGGGGCAGGAGGGATGGCCTCGCGCTGTCTTGAGTGGAAAATAAGGGAAATGTCCTTGGAAGGGGTGATTAGGGGGCAACTTCTGGGGGAGCTGGGAGAAGAAAAGGGCTCTGAGGCTGGCCTGACGGTCCTGCCTGTGCAAGAAGAGGAAGCAGGAGACGCTCTTGTGATACCAGGAACACCAGCTCCCACTGGGGAGGAGCCCAGCCTGCAGGCAGAGCCTCCAACCGGCACCAAAGGGGACGCCAGCCGGCCAGGTCTCGGGAGGAAGGGAGGGTGGGTGAACACCAGGAACCTCCACCCAGGGGCCTCGGCTAAGCCCTCTTCTCAGCGGACACCCTCACTCCAAGATGTCTCAGCACAGGGGCCTCCCCAGGGCAGCTGCAGCCTCAGGAAGGGGCCGTGAGCCCCACACCCCACTTCCTTCTAAGCCCACGCCTTCCCGCAGACCAGCTCCTGGGTCAGGTCCTGGCCAGTTGGGAAGGGCTGGGCCTTGTGGGTTCACCAGAGACACTGTAGGGTAAGCAGCCAGCTGAAGGGGTTAATTTTATAGGCTCGAGGAACACGGCTCCTTTCAGGTTGCTGGTAGGGCTGGGAACGAGGGGCTGTGTCTACACAGACATCCCCATTGTGGGGCTGATTCAGGGAATTGATTCAGAGGCCACACTCGGACGTGCACCTGCACAGAACTAGGGCACCCCACCTGTGTGGAGCACTCGCCGTCCTGTCGTGAGCCTGGGGGGCAGCGGTGGCCTGGCATGGACCCGGGCACACTGACCCTGCCCCGCACCCCAACGGTGGCCAGGAATTTTCTGGAGCCACAGGGCCCTGCCACATGCACCATGCAGGGAGGTCCACGGATCCCCCAGGGAAGAGCAGGTGTTGTCAACACCAAACCACAGGTGGCAGGGCCCTAAGGGGCTTTCAAACACCCCCCACTAGAAGGTCAGACTCTTGGTCTCCATCCATCCCCAGCACGAGGTCTGTGCAGAGAGTGAGGGCACTGCCTCTTCTAGACCTCCTTGTCTGGCCACGCGTGCCCTTTCCCCAGCTGTTCCTGTTCCTCCAGCTGCTTCTGTGCCTTCCCTCACACTGTTTTCTTGAGAAACACACAAGCATTTGCTCCTTTCCGGTCTCTACTCATTAAAGGCCTTTCATTCCCCAAGCACTCAGAGAGACTTCCTCTGAGCAGCCCCCTCCAGCCCACCCAGTGGCCACTACACCCACTGCCTGCGTCCTGCTGTGTCCCCCAAGGCTGGGGTGAGACTCTCACATGTCTCACATAAGGAAGGAGGGAAAGAGGGAGAGAGGGAGGAAGGGAGGGAAGGAGGGAGGGAGGGAAGGACGGAGGGACAGAGAATAGGAAGGAGGAAGGGAGGAGGGAGGGAGGGAAGGAGGAAGGGAGGGAAGGAGGGAGGGAGGGAAGGAGGGAGGGAGGGAAGGAGGGAGGGAAGGGGGAAGAAGAGAGGGAAGGAAAGAAGGAAGGAGGGAGGGAGGGAGGGGAAGTTCCTCCACAAACCAGCCACCTCCCCCCATCACAGCCCTGATAGGACTGCCCAGCCTTTAGCCCACAGGAGGATTTTAAGCTGCTGCCTGTATGTACTTAGAGAACAGTTTATGGTTGCTAACGTATAATTTTCAAAAGGGTAAAATCGTGATTCTCCAGCAAATGGAAAATGGGCACACGTCGAAGATTTCATTGAATTCATTAACAAATGAGGGGCGATGTTATGGCAGACGCTGTGACTGGCTGCTGAGCACACTTCACAGAAGAGGTGTTTACAGGCAATTTGACAAGAAAGGCTGAGATAAGACCTCTGGGTTATGGACTGGTTAATGTCCAGCCGGCCTGAAATCTGTGGATTATCTGTCTCCCTGGACAGAGATCACTGCATCTGCCTTCGGCTAAAATCCAGATAATGGGACACGTCTCTGAGTCTGGAACCTTTGAACAGCAAACTGGGAGGTGAACTAAGTCCCCCGCAGCCCAGGTCTTGGGAACCAGCCCAGGTCTCGGGAACCTTCCCCCCAGCCCTGCCCACTTTAGGGACTTAGTTCCAGGTTTCAGATAACTTTTTCTGACAATAATTAACTTTTAATGTATACTAAGAGAAATGATCACGAGACATCAAATCTGTGACAGAAAGTCTCCCATGTAAATACATTTATCTAAGTACAACATTGGTTATTTTAAAGGAAGGTATGTTCTTAAGTAAATAATTGTGTAGGCACCTGCCCGTCCCAAGGTGCCACAAGGCTGTGAGTGACATTGTTTTAAGCTGCTGGGCAAACCAAATCTCAGCTCCATAATAAATGACGTCTTTAATTCAGTGATGCTATCTTTTCATTGCAATCAAGTTTCTAAATATTTGGGAGGAAGTCCTGGCTAGTCCTGGCACCCACCTCCACCTGTTCCCTCCCCAGGGCGTGGCTGCCTTCTTCCCAGGTTTGGAGAGGCGGTGTCCTCTCAGGCAGTGGCGCGTTGAGGCTGCTGTCAGCTGATTTTATGCTGAGGAGGCCCGGCCTGGACATGGGAGCCCCCACAGTGGCCAGTCCCTCCGCCTTCTGGGCACATCCTGTGGTGGTGGGGTGGGTGTGGGGTGGAACTTCCTCCCCCGGACAGGCCAGCCACTCAGGATGGGGCCCTGTGCCCTGCTCACATGGGCTGTGCTGGTCTTCAAACCGGCCTGAGGGTCAGCAGAACATTTGCAGGTGGAGATGGAAGGAGAAACAGCATCCGGTCAGCACAAACCGTAAACAGCAGGTGCTCGGGTGTGGAGCTGGAGCCATGTGTCTCTGTGGGGAGGAACAGGGGTTTGAGGGGAACATGGGGACTGGGGCTCAAGGCACCTGGATTTAATCTTAGAGACGAAGGGGTGGGGAGGGAGTGCCCACGTGGGATCTGAGAGGAGACTCGCTGGCAGAGACTGGGCAGATGTGAGCCCTCCCTGCGATGGTCAGCCCTGCTCCTGATGGCCATGGAAGGAACATTTTTCTCCACCCCACTAAGGTGGGCTTTGACCACGTGGACGCTGGTGGATGTCCGCAGGCCCTGCAATGTGTTCCAGGGAATCGGCTTCAGGAAAAACATGCCTGGAGCTCAGCAGAGTGAGGGGCACACAGAGCAGACCTGACTTGAGCCTCAGCCTGGACCCCCACCTGACACTCAGAGCCCTGGGGAGAGAGGCCGTGGAACCGCCCGGCAGCATCACTGCCTCAGCACCTGCCAAGATGGAAATGGGCACGTTCAGGTCAGATAGGAGGCTGGGGCACACTCCTCCCTCGCCCCCGACCACCCACCCTCCAAGCCTTAGTTTAGATGTTCCCTCCTCAGATCAGCATTCTCTGCCCTGAGCCACGGTGGCGCCTCACTCCGGGGCCTGCGTGCCTCCTGCCTGTCTGAGTCCAACCTCAGCTTCCCAGCCAGCAGCTCAGGAACCCACAAGGTCGTGCAGCTGCCGAGCCGAAAAACGAATGAGCAGCTCTCGCGTGCAGGTCGGCTGGGTGGGTGTACGGCTTCATGGCGAGGCATCTGGAGTGAGGGAGGCTTGCTTCTCCTGCGGGGCCCTTGCTTTGTGTGTCTGGACAGGCGCCGTCCTCGTGGCTGCCTGGGACTGGGGCCTCTCTCCATCATCACAGTCCAGGAAGAGGGGTGGCCAGTCCTAGAGCTTGAGCTGAGCTGCCCTTGGTGGCTGTGGAGATGAGGAACTGATGTTGATGGTGCAGTCGGGAAGGGAGATGTGACGGATGAAAAGGAGACCCCGATTTAGCAGGAAGTGTGGAATTCTGTGATCCTGTGCTGCTGGTCCCTGCAGAGGTTTTGGCAGTCCCCAGACACTGCTGTCTTGAGAGGAAGAGGAGTCCAGGCAGCCACAGCAGAACGCTGACCCCTCACTGGTCTGCTGACTCCTCACTGGTCTGCTGACCACACAGCACGGCCTTGGTCTCCAGGCTGGCCCCCTGGAGTCCTCAACCAGCCCCAGAGGGAAAGGAGGTTTGCCAGAGGGACCTTGCAGCCACACGTGTGGCCCCAGGATGGCAAGGACAAGGCCCCTGGCGAGGTGGTGCTCATTCCATAAGGAGTGGTTAGAGTCACTCAGCAAATCCATCCCACGCCTGCCACGGGCTTCCCCCTCCCCTGGGCACCACCGGCCACCCTAAGCTCAGAGACGTGGTGGAACCCCTCCCGTGTGGCGTGGTGCCGAGACTGAGGGATGTGCAAGCTGTGAGGAGCATGTGGCCACAGCCAGGTCTGAAAGACAGCACTCCGAACCAAGCAGATCGTGTGAAACTGCAGGCCGATGTGATACGGAGACCAGGGTGCAACTTGCTCTGTTTTCAAGAGGAGAGACTTTGGAGAACTGTTATAAAAAATGGTTGCTGTGTCTGCAGGCTCACACGGGAACTCTGCTGTAAATATTTCTGTGCCAAGGCAGCACAGTGTTGCATGGGGGCCTGAGGGCCTGTGGGTTTGATTCATCCTTTCTAGGATGTCTGCAACATTTCTTGGATGTGAAAGTTTGTTCTGAGCACGACAGTTGGAAAATCACCGTCCGTGTCCTCTGAGCTAGGACTCACCTGCTGCAGGGAAGGAGCTTTGCTTAGCAGACCACGTCACACTCCCAGGATGATGAAGAGGGGATCTCCTGCAGGGTCCTGGGGACAAACCCTGCTGGCATCTGGCCATGGGGGAAAGAGCATCCGGAGTGAAGGGGACGACAATAGTCACCACAGTGGCTGGAGATGAGCCCACACGGTCGTCTTCCCCAGCGGAGACGTTCCCTCCCGTAGGAGGGTGGGTCAGAGGATACAGAAGGCGCCGGCAGTGACCAGGAGCAATGTGCAGCCTCCTCTCCCCCAGCTCCTGGAAGCAGATTCCGTCCGGGCACAGGAAGCTTTCCCGGTAATTGGCTAACGCGCCACATGACTGCTGTCTGCCAGGCTCTAGGAGGTGAGAATTCCTCCTCAAATTAACCTCATACCCAGAAACCCATCATCGCCACTTACCAGGATGGGAAAGCACAGTGTCCTCTAAAGAAACTTACATTCAAGCTGATGATCATACTCAGACAGCTAATTAAGAGCTAATTATTCAAATGACGGATCAAAGAACCGTGCATGCACCCAGCTTTCCCCGGAGACTCGGGTCCCCTGGCACTTGCATCCTGAGTCGGGGAAGAATCCTCAGCCACATAAGTGAGGACACATGTTTGCCAAGAAACCTCAAGTCTACATTCATAGCGGTGTCTACTCAGAGGACACAGGAAAACACACACACACACACACACACACACACCCCCGGGAGTCCTTGCAAATGGTCCCAGGCTTCATGAGAAGTCCGTGCTGGTGACAGTTGGAACGTGTTACTCTGGGGATAGCCTAATCACTACAAAATTAATTTTCTGAGCTCCTGAGAAACTTGCCTTCCTAAAAACCGAGATGGATGCAAATGAACAAGGACTGAGCAGCCCGAAGCGGGTCCATGGGGGTGGCAGCGGCACCCCTAACTCTGGCCGGGTGAGGGGCCCCGTCCGGGCAGCCTCAGTCCAGGCTCTAAGCAAACGCCGTGGCCCACAGGTGCTGCTTCTGGGATGGCGTCGGGACACTCCTGCGGGGGTAGCAGAGAGCTCGGCCCACCGACTAGCCGCTCTGCCCGCTGACCTGAGTGCTTCTCCGACCTCCGCAGTGGACGTTCACCTCTAAACCTTCCTTCATGTAAATGTTTGGTTCCCATAGCTGAGTCAAATGCCCTTGAAAATGCTTCCATCAGGAAACATTCAGACACCTAAATATATACTTTGTATCAAGTTTAATGAACACTTTGCTACTTTTGATGACTATGATTTCTTTATCTACCTGGTAAACAGAGACCAGGAGCCTTTTAGTTTTATTTCATGGAAAACACGTTGCTCAGTGGCGGCTCTCCAGCGGCTTCCCGTGCGGTCGCCCCATGGGCTGTAGGGAGGGGCCACGCACCACCCTCCTGGGAGGTCTCTGCCTCTCCACTCAGGTGTCCGCCCCCCGCCCCGGCTGGGACGGAAGCCCCTGAGGAGCTGGTGGAATCCGGTGTGAATGGGAACGCTTTTGCTCCAGCACTTCCTGTCCAGGCCTCTGGGTCCTGGAAGGAGCCAGGGCCGTGCAGTTCTATGAATGTGGCACCAGGACCTGTCCCCCCAGGCCTGGAGGGCCTAGAGGGAGGGGCCCTGAAAAGCCCTTGTTCTCAGAAACGCAGGCTGTGTTTCCCATGTGCACAGATTCCTCAAACTCACCTTGTGGAGAGGACACGGCTGCGTTGCTCTGAAGCCCAGGGGATGTGTGCCCCTCACGGGTGTGACCTGGGGCACCGTCCTCAGAGCGCTCGGTCCCTCAGAGGTGTGATCGGCCCAGGTGAGCACACCGCCCGCCTTGCAGCCACCTCTGGAAGGCTATGAACTCTCAGGGGTGTGATCGGCCCAGGTGAGCACACCGCCCGCCTTGCAGCCACCTCTGGAAGGCTATGAACTCAAGTTTGATGAACAGAGAGACAGCTGTTTGTCCAGGACCATCAGCCCTGAGGGCAGATGAGCTCAGGCTGATGGCGGCCACCCTGCTGCTCCTTGCAGAGGAGCGGCCTGCGAGTGAAGCCACACAGAGGGGAGACTTCTGAGCGACAGGCAGGGTGGGGGCCCAGTGAACTGTGGATCTCTAGATACACTGTCAGCTGCAATCCGGTCTTTATTATGTTTTAAATGTCATTTTGTCTGATTTAGTCTGGCCTTGGTTTTTATTACCTGGAACTCAAAGAATCTTTAGTTCTGTGCCATGTAAAGGAGATATTATTCCAGTTTACACCAGAGAAGTTCCAGGCGTAGACGGGCAAAGTGCCCAAGCGCACCCAGCCAGGAACAGGTGCGGCCTCGTGAGCTCCAGTGACCCTAATCCCTGATGAAACGTGGGGCTCAGGCTCGACACGGCATGGGACTCGCTATGCCAGTTTGCCAAATGCAGACTGCAGGGCACCCACCAGCAACGATACTGTTCAGTAGGTTAGGGCAGGTTCCGGAAGTCTCCATTTTTATCGAACGTTCCTGGTGATTCTGAGGCAGCCCCCATCTTGCTGAAGACAAGCCCACTGTGCAAGCCTGGCTGCATTTGGCCCCTGGTTTAACATCCGCACGCAGGATTCTTGCCGGCCGGGCGCGGGGGCTCACGCCTGTAATCCCAGCACTTTGGGAGGCCGAGGAGGGTGGATCACGAGGTCAGGAGATTGAGACCATCCTGGCTAACACAGTGAAACCCTGTCTGTACTAAAAATACAAAAAATTAGCCAGGCGTGGTGGCGGGTGCCTGTAGTCCCTGCTACTCGGGAGGCTGAGGCAGGAGAATGGCGTGAACCTGGGAGGTGGAGCTTGCAGTGAGCCGAGATCACACCACTCTGCACTCCAGCCTGGGCGACAGAGTGAGACTCCATCTCAAAAAAAAAAAAAGATTCTTGCCAAGGATCAAAGCCTCAAACGTTCCCATGGACTCTCCACTGACCACGGAGGAGCTGGGGAGACGCTGGAGGACACGCTGTCTCTCCCTGGGTTCCGCCACCGGCTCCAGGCAGGTGTGCACAGGGCAGTGTGTCAGCCTCGGTGTCTGAGCCCCGCGGGGGCCCCGTGAGGGTCCGTGTTGGAATCGGTGTCTGAGCCCCGCGGGGGCCCCGTGAGGGTCCGTGTTGGAATCGGTGTCTGAGCCCCGCGGGGGCCCGTGAGGGTCCGTGTTGGAATCGGTGTCTGAGCCCCGCCGGGGCCCGTGAGGGTCCGTGTTGGAATCGGTGTCTGAGCCCCGCGGGGCCCGTGAGGGTCCGTGTGAGAATCGGTGTCTGAGCCCCGCGGGGCCCCGTGAGGGTCCGTGTTGGAATCGGTGTCTGAGCCCCGCGGGGGCCCGTGAGGGTCCGTGTTGGAATCGGTGTCTGAGCCCCGCGGGGGCCCGTGAGGGTCCGTGTTGGAATCGGTGTCTGAGCCCCGCCGGGGCCCGTGAGGGTCCGTGTTGGAATCGGTGTCTGAGCCCCGCCGGGCCCCGTGAGGGTCTGTGTTAGAATCGGTGTCTGAGCCCCGCGGGGCCCGTGAGGGTCCGTGTTGGAATCGGTGTCTGAGCCCCGCCGGGCCCCGTGAGGGTCCGTGTTGGAATCGGTGTCTGAGCCCCGCCGGGCCCCGTGAGGGTCCGTGTTGGAATCGGTGTCTGAGCCCCGCCGGGCCCCGTGAGGGTCCGTGTTGGAATCGGTGTCTGAGCCCCGCCGGGCCCCGTGAGGGTCCGTGTTAGAATCGGTGTCTGAGCCCCGCCGGGCCCCGTGAGGGTCCGTGTTGGAATCGGTGTCTGAGCCCCGCGGGGCCCCGTGAGGGTCCGTGTTGGAATCGGTGTCTGAGCCCCGCCGGGCCCCGTGAGGGTCCGTGTTGGAATCGGTGTCTGAGCCCCGCGGGGCCCGTGAGGGTCCGTGTGAGAATCGGTGTCTGAGCCCCGCGGGGCCCCGTGAGGGTCCGTGTTGGAATCGGTGTCTGAGCCCCGCCGGGCCCCGTGAGGGTCCGTGTTGGAATCGGTGTCTGAGCCCCGCGGGGCCCGTGAGGGTCCGTGTGAGAATCGGTGTCTGAGCCCCGCGGGGGCCCGTGAGGGTCTGTGTTAGAATCGGTGTCTGAGCCCCGCGGGGCCCCGTGAGGGTCCGTGTTGGAATCGGTGTCTGAGCCCCGCGGGGGCCCGTGAGGGTCTGTGTTAGAATCGGTGTCTGAGCCCCGCGGGGCCCGTGAGGGTCTGTGTTAGAATCGGTGTCTGAGCCCCGCGGGGCCCGTGAGGGTCTGTGTTAGAATCGGTGTCTGAGCCCCGCGGGGGCCCGTGAGGGTCTGTGTTAGAATCGGTGTCTGAGCCCCGCGGGGCCCCGTGAGGGTCCGTGTTGGAATCGGTGTCTGAGCCCCGCGGGGCCCGTGAGGGTCCGTGTTGGAATCGGTGTCTGAGCCCCGCCGGGCCCCGTGAGGGTCCGTGTTGGAATCGGTGTCTGAGCCCCGCGGGGCCCCGTGAGGGTCCGTGTTGGAATCGGTGTCTGAGCCCCGCGGGGCCCGTGAGGGTCCGTGTTGGAATCGGTGTCTGAGCCCCGCCGGGCCCCGTGAGGGTCCGTGTTGGAATCGGTGTCTGAGCCCCGCCGGGCCCCGTGAGGGTCCGTGTTAGAATCGGTGTCTGAGCCCCGCCGGGCCCCGTGAGGGTCTGTGTTGGAATCGGTGTCTGAGCCCCGCGGGGCCCCGTGAGGGTCTGTGTTGGAATCGGTGTCTGAGCCCCGCGGGGCCCGTGAGGGTCCGTGTTGGAATCGGTGTCTGAGCCCCGCCGGGCCCCGTGAGGGTCCGTGTTAGAATCGGTGTCTGAGCCCCGCGGGGCCCCGTGAGGGTCTGTGTTAGAATCGGTGTCTGAGCCCCGCGGGGCCCCGTGAGGGTCCGTGTTGGAATCGGTGTCTGAGCCCCGCGGGGGCCCGTGAGGGTCTGTGTTGGAATCGGTGTCTGAGCCCCGCGGGGCCCCGTGAGGGTCCGTGTTGGAATCGGTGTCTGAGCCCCGCGGGGCCCGTGAGGGTCCGTGTTGGAATCGGTGTCTGAGCCCCGCCGGGCCCCGTGAGGGTCCGTGTTAGAATCGGTGTCTGAGCCCCGCCGGGCCCCGTGAGGGTCTGTGTTGGAATCGGTGTCTGAGCCCCGCGGGGCCCCGTGAGGGTCTGTGTTGGAATCGGTGTCTGAGCCCCGCGGGGCCCGTGAGGGTCCGTGTTGGAATCGGTGTCTGAGCCCCGCCGGGCCCCGTGAGGGTCCGTGTTGGAATCGGTGTCTGAGCCCCGCGGGGGCCCGTGAGGGTCTGTGTTAGAATCGGTGTCTGAGCCCCGCGGGGCCCCGTGAGGGTCCGTGTTGGAATCGGTGTCTGAGCCCCGCGGGGCCCGTGAGGGTCCGTGTTGGAATCGGTGTCTGAGCCCCGCCGGGCCCCGTGAGGGTCCGTGTTGGAATCGGTGTCTGAGCCCCGCCGGGCCCCGTGAGGGTCCGTGTTGGAATCGGTGTCTGAGCCCCGCCGGGCCCCGTGAGGGTCCGTGTTGGAATCGGTGTCTGAGCCCCGCCGGGCCCCGTGAGGGTCTGTGTTGGAATCGGTGTCTGAGCCCCGCCGGGGCCCGTGAGGGTCCGTGTTGGAATCGGTGTCTGAGCCCCGCCGGGCCCCGTGAGGGTCCGTGTGGGAATCGGTGTCTGAGCCCCGCGGGGCCCGTGAGGGTCTGTGTTGGAATCGGTGTCTGAGCCCCGCGGGGCCCCGTGAGGGTCCGTGTTGGAATCGGTGTCTGAGCCCCGCCGGGCCCCGTGAGGGTCCGTGTTGGAATCGGTGTCTGAGCCCCGCCGGGCCCCGTGAGGGTCTGTGTTGGAATCGGTGTCTGAGCCCCGCGGGGCCCCGTGAGGGTCCGTGTTGGAATCGGTGTCTGAGCCCCGCCGGGCCCCGTGAGGGTCCGTGTTAGAATCGGTGTCTGAGCCCCGCGGGGCCCCGTGAGGGTCCGTGTTGGAATCGGTGTCTGAGCCCCGCGGGGCCCGTGAGGGTCCGTGTTGGAATCGGTGTCTGAGCCCCGCGGGGGCCCGTGAGGGTCCGTGTTGGAATCGGTGTCTGAGCCCCGCCGGGGCCCGTGAGGGTCCGTGTTGGAATCGGTGTCTGAGCCCCGCCGGGCCCCGTGAGGGTCCGTGTTAGAATCGGTGTCTGAGCCCCGCCTGGCCCCGTGAGGGTCCGTGTTGGAATCGGTGTCTGAGCCCCGCCTGGCCCCGTGAGGGTCCGTGTTAGAATCGGTGTCTGAGCCCCGCGGGGCCCGTGAGGGTCCGTGTTGGAATCGGTGTCTGAGCCCCGCGGGGGCCCGTGAGGGTCCGTGTTGGAATCGGTGTCTGAGCCCCGCCGGGCCCCGTGAGGGTCCGTGTTAGAATCGGTGTCTGAGCCCCGCCTGGCCCCGTGAGGGTCCGTGTTGGAATCGGTGTCTGAGCCCCGCGGGGCCCGTGAGGGTCCGTGTTGGAATCGGTGTCTGAGCCCCGCGGGGGCCCGTGAGGGTCTGTGTTAGAATCGGTGTCTGAGCCCCGCGGGGCCCCGTGAGGGTCCGTGTTGGAATCGGTGTCTGAGCCCCGCGGGGCCCCGTGAGGGTCCGTGTTGGAATCGGTGTCTGAGCCCCGCGGGGCCCGTGAGGGTCCGTGTTGGAATCGGTGTCTGAGCCCCGCGGGGCCCCGTGAGGGTCCGTGTTGGAATCGGTGTCTGAGCCCCGCGGGGCCCGTGAGGGTCCGTGTGAGAATCGGTGTCTGAGCCCCGCGGGGCCCGTGAGGGTCCGTGTTGGAATCGGTGTCTGAGCCCCGCGGGGCCCGTGAGGGTCCGTGTTGGAATCGGTGTCTGAGCCCCGCCGGGCCCCGTGAGGGTCCGTGTTCGTTAGAAGGGCTGTGTGTGCAGTGGACAGGTGGCACCCATGCCTTCCTCAAGGTCCTCTTCCTTGGTGGCAGGGGGCTCAGGCCCGAGTGTCCCCTGCGCTCTGTCATGTTCACTCTGGGACATCACAGACCTCGGTCGCCTTTTTGCACTGGTCGATAGAAGCTACCAGCAAATGTGTGGCCCACTCTGGTGCCTGAATGGGAACTAACAGACTTCATTCTGTAGCTGCTTCCTCGGGCCGCGTGGCTGTTCCACCTCCATCTCCCTCACTCTGATTCCCGCAGGTTTGTGCGGCTTTGCTTTGTATCATGTGCCTTTGTCTCAGGGATGGACCCCATTTGGAACGAGGCGGGGCATCCGACAGACCAGCTCAGTTCCTACCCCAGAAAGAAGGGCTGCTGCTGAGAACTGAAAGGTCTGCTGGAAAGGAACAGCTCTGATGATAAAAACTTTGCCCCCGAAACTCATATTTCATAGGCTCTTTCTGAAGAAAAGTGAAACAAATAGTGTAGGTTTAATTGGATCCACGCCTGCTGGATCCAATACACACAGCAGCTGTATTTGTGCTACCAAAAGGGGGCTGGGGAGGGAAGGTGGTCTAGTGGGAGAAGGGAAGCAGTTATGACCAGGAGTGTCAATGAATCTGCCATGTCACAGAATTTTCTAAGAGACGTGGACCAATTTGGTGGCTGGGCTCAGAAGTGGCAAAAGGCGACAGCTGTCAACCGCCTCCCCGCAGCACTGCACCTCCCTGCTGCAGCCACAGCTGCCCTGTCCAGAAATCCTGGGGCCTCTGCACCGCCAGGCCCTTCTCCACCCGCTCCAACTTTGCTCGGCGCATGTGGGTGAGTGCGTTAGGGTGGATGACATGCACGCCGGAATACTGACCCAGAGCTTCTGGAAGCCTCCCTGTACGCATTGTGATGAGAAGGCTGGAGCTCCAGCAGCCACGCTGGCAGGGAGCATGGAAGCCATGAGCAGGGATGTGAGGCCCAGGAGCAGAGAGCTCCTGGCTCTGGAGCCCCTGGGAGCTTCACGCTGGCTGTAAGTGCCAGCTGCCATGCTTCCTGTGCATGGAAGAAAATGCGCTCCATCTTGTTTCACCCACCGTGATTTGGGGTTCTGTCTAGGTGGCTGAACGTAATCACAGGGAATGCCAAACACCACTGCCCAGTGTGCAATGATTACACAGCAGCTCCCACAGTACAGCCCATGTCAGCACCCTCTGTGATGTACCAGGGTTCACCGTGGCTGCCTGGTCCCCAGGCCGCTGTTTCAGAAGAGTGGCTGACTACGTCAACCCTGCACGTCCAAGAGGCGGCTCTCATGGCCCAGGAAATCCACAACAGGTGTCTTTGGTCTCTCAATATTCCCTGGCTTGTCCAGCTCTCACTCACTATTGCCCCCACCCTGTGAACTGAAGTGGAGTATTATTCCCATCGTATCAGTTGCAGAAAAGTCAATGGCGTAGCATGGCGCAACATCTGTCCCCTCCCCTGTTGGTGTCTGGGAAGCCGCAGTCTGTGCTCACCAGGTAAGAGCTCCTGGCCCAAGCCTTTCGAGCATGGCCCTTCCAGGCTGCTTGTCACACTGAGATGTGAACAGAAACAGAGCTGGGTAGGCAGGCATCTCCAGGGACACCTGGCAGAGGGGCGGTGCAGCTGCCATCTGGCCGGGTTTGCAGGACGCTCTTCCCATGCAGCGTCTCACATGTGCCTCGCTGGAGTCCTTGGAGGTGGGCATCATTGCCACAGCTTTGCAGATAAAAAGGAGGCAACCTGCCATGGTCACACGGGTGCTCCGCCCATCAGACGTGAATTCATGTCTGTCTGAGCCTAAGCCTCTGAGCATTCTCTGGAGCGCCATGCTGTGTGGACAGGCTGTGACCATGAGCCACTAGAGCCCGGCCTGGGTGTGCCGTAAACCCAGCCCGGCCTTCCATTTCCAGGCCCTCTGAGGGATGTGCCTTTGGCCTCTGAGGCCCTGAGCTCCACGTGGGGAGAGCTCAGCCCCAGGCTGGCACCTGCCATGCCTCCTACGGAAGCAGCCACGGCCCCGAAAGACAAGACACCCTGCACAGAAGGCAGGTCCACAGGCCCTGAGTGCTGGCAACATATGTGAAGGAAAAAGAAACGAAATGCTGGCCAGAAAATTCATGCTCTTGGGCCAACCTCTACTGGAAAAGGCCAGGCGACATTTCTAGACCTTTTGTGTCCCAAAAATTAAGCAGTGGGCTCACACAGCTTTAAGCCAGCAAGCTCAGTGATAGCCTAGCTTTCATTGAAACACATAAGCTGGTCCATCATTCATAATAACCTAACGATGAGTCTTTCCTCATGTTTACGGCTTCAGAAAGAGAAGGTAGCAAGTGACAGGTCTTGGTAATGTCTCCAGTCATGTTTCTTTCATTGTGCCCCGAAAGCAAGGCTGTCCCCGTGGAGGGTGCAGAGTCAGTGGGGAAAAGGGGAAGAGCTCCTTCAGCTGATGACAGACGTGAATGGGAGAACGTAGAGGCTGTTTTCTCATTCCAAAGGAAAAGGAAAAAGAAGAATCAGAAAGGTCCCCTGTCCCCTCCTTCCCTCCAGGCTGGACTGTGTCCCGAAAGGAGGCTGGCCACGGCCCCGTGGCTCGTGGGACTGCCACTGGTTGCCCGGCCGTCCAGGAGGTCTTCATCTGCGGTCTCCCCCTCTGGTGTCTCTAGGTGTTCCAGGACCCTGCAAGCTAAATCCAGTGCTATAAAACAGCTCCTCTGTTTGCAGGGGGCTCTATGCCAGAGGCAGCCCCGGCAAATCCCTCCTGCGCCGTGAGGCTCTCCAGGCTGATTTCTCCACCCCTGCTCTGGAGGAGGGAGGCCTCTGAGGCAGGAACAGCCCAGCCCCGGCATTTGCAGAGATGACCACTGGGTCCCGTGTAGGGCCAACCTTCTGCCACCTTCCGGAGTGCCCCCAAATCTGTGTTCTCCAGCCCAGACAACCCCGCATGTCCCATGAAGAAAAGTGCCCCACTGAGGTGCGGGCTGGAAGCCTTTTCAACACTATTCAGCTCCTGCTGAGAAACCTCTCAGGTCCCGCAGAGCGCAATGCAGAGCGGAGCAGGTCCAGGACCAGGGCAGGGCAGAGGGTACAGATGGAGCAGGGCCACCCAGGATGACGGCTGCAGGTGGAGTTCTGGAAAATTATCAGGATGATGACAGACCAGGGCCGGCGGTCATGGCTGAGGACCAGCCCCCAGACACTGCTGAGGAGAAAGAAACTGTGAAGTCGACCTTATTTTACTCTCAGTCACTAACGTTTCTGGGCCGTTAAAGGCGGATGGCACAGAAACAGGCTGAGTCCCTCCAACCCCACGGAACCTGTCCTGACAGGAGAGACCCCCAAAAGGAGCCAGGACGTCCTCGGCGGACACAGGGGCCAGCGTCCCCATGCCCCTGAAGGTGGAAGCCTGGGGCCTACCAACTGGTCCTGAGGTCCGGGTGAGAGGAGGGCCTGTGGCGCGGGGGCTGGGCAGTCACCCTCACACCTGAGGCAGCAGCTCTGGACAGGGACAAGCCCTAGAAACTCCAGCCTCCAGTGAGCGGGAGCCACTGCTTGAGGGGGCTTGGGAAGAGGGATCCTCTCCTCACTGGCTACGGCGGGAAGAGGGCTTAGTCTTCGTGTGCTCAGCTGTGAGAAGCCTAGAAGTGCTTTGCTGTCGTTTCCTCACTTAATAAAGACAGCAAATCAGCCTCACACTGCAGCCTCCTGGATTCTTCCCATTTCTCATTTCCTCACTTAATAAAGACAGCAAATCAGCCTCACACTGCAGCCTCCTGGATTCTTTCCATTTCAACAACCTTATTAACTGGTTAATTCCCAGGTTAAGCCAAGTAACCCGGCAGGTGACTGGGAAAGCTGAAGGTTCCATGCCTGCTCCAATTAATGTCTTCTTAGGACAGACTGGAGAGTTCAGATTCACTCTCTAAAATGACTCAGAGAAAGAAAATTCACTGACTTATGAAAAGGTCAGTCTCCATCACTGACAGCTTCATATCACAAAGAAAGGCATTTTCAGAGCAGAGACACTTGATCACTGGGAATTACTGACTCCCAAGCCCAGAAAATGCCACTGGATACCCGGCAAAAGACCTCCATTAGAGCAGAGGGAATCAGACGGCACTGGTGGGATTAGCAGTTCCAATGGCTCCCAGAGCTCAGAGCTCCCAGCCAGGGCAGCCACACGTGAGGGACTTCTCACCAAATGCAAGTGAGCTTTGAGCTAATGCTTCAGAAACAAACTGGTTTTACAAGCAGGCTTTAGGTTAATGGTACACTTTTTTAAATGAAATAAAAAATGAAACTACTTTTTATTGGCTTATATAAGGGATCTGGAGTCATCAGCCTCTTGCATTGGTTTTATGCATGCAAACATAAAATGGCATTGTTATCTCAGGGTCAAGCTTATATTGGTAATTCTGGGTCAATCCCTCTGGCTTTTCTATAAGTATTTGAAAATACTGATATGATCCTTACAGGACTTCTCAAATCTCCTGGGGGCAGCATCCTTGGCCAGGATGTGCTCAGGGAAGACCACAGGTGCATCTGTCCAATAAATCAATGACTTCCCCCAATTAGCATAAGAGTTAAATATAATCAAACTATGCAAACTAGGTGTACCATGAGGTAAGTAAACCTCCTTAGAAACCAACTGAACACGCTGATCAATATCTGAAATTGTGGTATCTGTATAATTGCAGTAATACTGCGATAATCAATATCTGCATAATTGCAATACAAAAACTACAAGAATTTGATGTAATAAATGAAGATTTTACCTAGTAGGTTAACAAAAAAGAGCATGTGCTGGTAATTTATGTGCTGGTAAACATTTCACAGCTGGATCTCAGGAACAAAAATGCATGCATGCATATACATGGATAAGTGTATTATAAATTTCAGTGAAATAAAGCATCTGCAGTGTACAGTTTACAAATATAGTATACAGTACTCATTTTTGTAAATTGTATATGACCAATTGATTCTCGCAGAAAACATCGGCTCATTTCTGGAAAACTCGTATCTGCAGGGAGACTGTAGCTGTATTTGACCAGGGAGGGTAGGCCCGACACAGATGCTAGTGAATGTTCTTATTTGCATTAATGAGTAAGACAAAACCAAAACGACAAAGCAGTCAGTGTGATCTCGTTTGTCAGTGACTTCTCTGCTGAACTGAGTAATTGTTTTTAAATGCCAGAAGAGTTCTTCAATTTTTTTGCTGTTCACAGTGCAATGGCTTCAACACTTTTAAGTCTAATCTGCATTATTAACACCTTCTCCATCAGTCTGAGTTAAAGGCCAGCTCTGGTTTGTAGCACTTGCTGGCGTCTGCAGCGTCAATGCATCCACCGTGAGCCACTCCAAGCTTCCACCTCGGCAGGGCTGAACAGGAGCACACGGCGTGGGACGCCTAAGACAGGAGACGTCTCCTGCGGACCGTCCAGGCTGCTCTCGGGGAGGCTGGCCTGTGGACTTCATCCATGGGCTTCCATGGCCTCTGGCTTCCAGTCCTGTTTTGCCATTGGCGACCCCTGGCAGGGACTGGCAGGAGGCAGGAGGATGAGGTCTAGGTCTTATTCTCCTATGGGGTCATCTTAGTCTCTGTCTGGCCCTCGGTGAAGGTCATGGCATCTTTCAAGGTGACTCTGTGCAACCTGACTTCCAGAATCCATTAACTGCTCCTCCCCTCCTGCCTTCAGACCAGGGTGAGAATAGCTCTGCTATTATTAGGTCCAGAACACTGCACTTTTTTGGTAGTTTTCCAGCCCTCTGCCTATGTCTCTGCAAACAGTCCCCTTACCAAGCCCTCTGGGGATGACGCTAGTGTGCCCTGCGTTCCCGCTGGGACATTGACACAGACAGAACCCATACAACAGCAGAACTCCCCAGAGGACAGCCTCACCACGTGCACAGTGAACGGCCTGTGTGGGTGCTCCAAGACGACAGCCTCACAGCGTGCACAGTGAACGGCCTGTGTGGGTGCTCCAAGACATCAGAGGGGTCCCAGAGTTCTCCAGAAAAAATAACTATTCCACGTAGCTGCTAGCGTGAGACGCTGGGCCAACCCGAGCATGTGGGGAAGGCACCTTATGCTCTGCCATCACCCACAATGTGATGGTCTTGGGGGTGGGGCTTTCCGAGGTGAGTAAGTCATGAGGACCCGTTGTCGTGGAAGGCTTGAGTGCCCTTATAAACGAGGCCTGAGCTGGAAGGCGCTGTGAGGAACAGGCCCTCCCCAGATGGCAACTTGGTCTTGGACTTCCCAGTCCCCATAAATGTGAGAGATGATTGTCTGTTATTTTAAGCTTCCCAGTCAGTTACAGCAGCCAAACTTCTATCAAAAATAATAAAAGAACAGCAATTAGAAGTTTAAGAAATAAAAGGTCTTAGTTTAAATATAAAGAAACTTAAATGTGGCAGGAATTTAAAGAAATAATGGAGGACAAGGAGAAAGCGCATCTGACCTTAAGGCTGGGAACGATTCCTTTGAGTGACTCAGGGGTTGTGGTCCTGGGCCTCAGGGAGGGACATATTCGCCCAGCAGACGGCTCAGCCCTGGTGCACACCCTTCATACAGATGTGCACCAGGGTAAATTCAGTTACGGTTAAAGGGCTAAATGCATACTTCATCAGCTCATCAGCTATAAAAGCAATCCTCTAATAGGATCCGGGAGATGAAAGAGGGAGTGGGGAGGGAAGGGTGGGGCTGGAACCTCCTGGCATTACAGGGTAGGGACCACCGGACACTGTCAGAAATGACGCGACAAGAAATAGCCTTGAGTACTTTCAATTAAAGCAACAAAGGCAACCACAGACAAGCCAGGCCTACTCCCACCACTGCCACTGCTGGCCGCGAGGGAGGAGGCCAGCAGAGCCCAAGTCCCTGGCGCGTCAGTGCCGCTGTGCTGCTGGTCCCCGCTCACCTCTGCCTCGTTTTCGGGCTCTCTGTGTGTCCTGACACCTGTGCCTCTCACTTGGTGGTCTTTCCTCCGTCCCTTCTTGTTTGCCCGGCCCCTCTTACAGTGTAGCACTCTAAAGCAGCTTTTCTTTATGGAAATCTGTTTATTCCAAAGCTCTGAGGCAGTGTTATAAATATTGGTTTAAAACATTAGCCAGGGGATTACTGATAAAATATAAAATAGAAACAATTTCCCAAGGAAACTTCATCTAAAAATACACCAGTTTCCCCTCTCACCTCACTTGAGTAGAGGCACCAGAGGGTGTGTCAGGACCTGTCTCGGGGTGAAGGTCTCACTTCCTCACGCCTCTCCCACATGGCTCCCAGGAATCCCCCAGGAATGGCTTGGAAAAAAAAAATCTGTGACAATGGAGAAGAGTTGCCCCCAAAGAAACGTGCATATAAACAGCTCTTCCAGCTAGAGAAAAAAAAATTCTGCATAAATAATTCAGATTGCTGAGCTTGGTCCCTCATGCCTGTAATCCCAGCACCTTGGGAGGCTGAGGCAGCAGTTTGAGACCAACCTGGACAACATAGCGAGAGCTGGTCTCTACAAAAAATACAAAAAATTTAGCCAGGCATGGTGGTGCCTGCCTGTGGTCCCAGCTACGCAGGAGGCTGAGCTGGGAGGATCACCTGAGCCTGGGAGGCTGAGTAAGCCAGGATCACACCACTGCACTCCAGTCTTGGCGATGGACTGACACCCTGTCTCAATGATCAATAATAATAATAATTCAGACAAACCAGGTCGAAAAATGTCCTGAGACGGTGAACTCAGGACCCAGCTACCTGGGGTGGACACTGTGGCTGATGGACCGGAAAGGGTAACACCAAAGGGCTCTAGGAGGTGTCTCATGTCTGGCTGTTGTCACTCCCCTTGGCCGCTGAAAGCCTTTCTGTTCCCCAGAATCGAGTAAGGAGCTCCTGGACAGAAGTGGGGAAGGAGTCTTCCTGCTCAGGGCTATGTTACTTAACTCCGTTTAAGTGACAGAGCATGAACAGGTCATATTAGTGTCACATGCACCCGATTTCATTCTCCATTTGCAACAATGAAGACTGTATAACGACATTGTTAAATACCCCAGAATTATAATTAAATCTTATTAGCCAATAGAATCTGAGTGTGCTAAAATCTCTATTAGCCGGGACTGATGTAGCCACGATGGCCATGCTCGGCGCGGCGGCTCACACCCGTAATCCCAAAGCATTTCGGGAGGCTGAGGTGGGCGGATCACGACGTCAGGAGTTTGAGACTAGCCTGGCCAACATGATGAAACCCCGTCTCTACCAAAAATACAAAAATTAGCTGGGTGTGGTGGCACGCACCAGTAATCCCCGCTATTTGGGAGGCTGAGGCAGGAGAATTGTTTGAACCCAGGAGGCGGAGGTTGCAGTGAGCCGAGATCCTGCCATCGCACTCCAGCCTGGGGGACAAAGCCAGACTCCATCTTGGGTGGGGGTGGGGAGGAAGAGGAGAGAGACCAAGCAGCAATATCATCGATAACAAATTACAATCCAAATTCTAGGCGGTGTTCTGGGACTGGTTCACATCCAGCTTGGTCTGGCCTTGCCACTCCCACAGGGCAGGACACACTGAGGTCTGCCTGGGGGTGCCTGCTCTGGCGGCTGGGCTCCCCGCTTTCTGCAGGCTCAGGTGCCCCCTATTCCTGCAGCCCTTCCTGGACCCAGCCTGTCCTCATCTCAAACTCGGGGCTGCTGGCCTGAGCTTGATCCCTTCACCGTTTCTCACTAATACGTCACTCTCGCCTCTTAAATGATGACAAAGACTCTCTCCTTTGACCACACTCGAGTCAGGCTCCTCTGAGCCCTCCCTGTGACCAGTCCCTGACCTTGGCCGGTTTCGGCCGATTTAGCAAGAATCCTGCTGAGTCGGTTTAGTGAAAATCGTCTACTCTTGGTCCCTGATCAAAGTCCTCAACTCCCACCCTCGGTCTGTGACCACACTGCCTGCCTTTTCAGCAAAAATCCTGTCTATGCAGCTAGAACCCGCCTTGCCCCTGACCCTTCCTCTTAGTAATTTTCTCTCCACTCCCGACCCTACGCCTGGGCTGTCAATTCCCACTTTTTCTATCTGGAGTTGAGCCGGATCTGCCTCCCCTAACCCAACATCTCGCTTTAGCAGCCCCCCCACCTTGAATAAAAGCAGCCTTGCCCTCTTTAACAATTAATAAGCACAGACTGGGACAGGACATCCCCCTCCATCCCAGCGCCCATGCACCCTCAGCCACGGTCCTCAGACCTCAAGAAACCCAGCGGGTGACAAGCTTGGGTGTCAGCGGGGCTGGGATTGCTGCTGGGGGCACAGGAGCTCGGGAGCACTTTGCAGGTGAGCAGGGCCTGGACAGGGGCTTCTCTGCAGCCCACCCCTGGGGAGGACTCCGGGCCCTCGCCCTGGACGGCAGAGCTCGTTTTGCTGTTGCCCTACTGTCTCCGCGACCTTGGGGGTTCACTTAGCACCCCCAGGCCAACACCTGGCCTCTCCATGCACCAACACCTGGCCTCTCCTTCCCTGGCCTGCCGCCCTGCCTGTGTCTGGACTGTGGTTCACCGAGTGTGCACGTGGGCCTCGGAGGCTGCCCTATAGAGCCCAAAGTCCCAGGGAGGAGCAAAGGGGACCAAGTGCACACTCACCCAGCTTCCTCTGCCCGGCAACGTCCCTGCCCCCATCTCCCCTCCACCGCCACCAGGGCCTGCATCCCCATCTGCAAAGGGGACAGGGTGCCCACGCCTTCTGAAGCACGCGCTCTCCAGGCCGCTCTCCGGGCGTCACCCCGCCCTGCTCCCCTCGCCCCTGCACAGCCCGAGTCCAGCCTGGTCGCTGCCATCAGGACGATCAGGACCGACCGCCACCATCAGTGGGGACCGGCCAGGGCGGTTAGGCCCGGTCCGGGGCCCCAGGTCCCGCGTCCCCGCCGAGGCCAGGCAGGGAGGCCTGGCTGCCCCGGGCTTTAGAACCAAAATAAGCCCCGAAATGATTGGCGGCGCCCATGCGCCAGGAGAAAACCTAAAGGACGAACGTTCCCGAGTACATATAAGGACGATTAATATTTATTGCACAACTTTTTTTTTTACTTCCTTGTTAAAGAGGAAAACCTTACGCTAAAAATAAAACGACTAGGAGCCCTTGTGCCTGCGTGGGTGGCGCTCGCGCCTTTAAACCTGAAGCCACAGGGGCTCAGCCCCCCACCCGCGCAGGGCGGCTCCTGCGCATGCGTAAACAGAAGGGGTCGGGGCGCGGCCCAAGACGACGCCAAGGGAGCGGACGGGCGGGGAGGAGGTGGCCTCTGCGCAGGCGCAGAGAGGAGAGGAGCGAGCGACTCCTGCGCAAGCGCAGAGTGAAGGGCCGGGAACAGTGGAGGGTGCGAGGAAGACAATGGGGGAGGACCCTGAGGCGGCCTCTGTGAGCCGACAGGAACACGTGGTCGATCAGAGAGAGACTCGTAAGTGCACGGAGCTGATGAGGTGACTATGGCGTTGCGCAGGCGTCCTGTAGAGGCGGGTTGTCATCGGCGCAGGCGCGGTGTGGAGGAAGCCCCGGCGCCGGCGCAATGAGGAGGCGGCCGGACTCGGCGCTGGCGCAGTGTGGAGGAGGCTCCGGCGCAGGCGCAGACGCAGGGCGGGCAATGGCCGCCTGGGTCTCTCGGGCAGCCCTGCCCACCTCTCTCGCGTCTCCTGGTCTTGGCCTGCGGCTCTCTTTCTGGCAGGTGCCGCGGCGTCTCCTGCGGGCCTGACCGTGTTCTCCCGCCTAGCCAGGCTCTTCTGCGCTCCTTTTTTGTTGAGATTTTTCCATCCCCTTCACAGGAAGTGTCCTTTAATTACTCCAGTGTTTTTTTAGTTACTTTTTAAGAAACATTTTGGACTTTTCGATACAGAATAGTGTCAAAAAAAAAATTTAACCTTCTTCAGGTTATATTTTAGTGAATGATATTAATATATGTTCCAAAGTTGTATGGGATTTCTAAAATTCTAATTTTTCTGAGTATATGCTACCGATCATAATTATGGTTATGTTGTTGTTATAACCAAATTTCTTTGTCAATTGTGTCTTTTTGAGTATTTAAAGTCATTTCCGCAGTTAATTGCTTCATGCTGATGTAGTTTCTGAAAACTTCACAAGCACACAAAAATCCTAGAACATGGTGTCTTTTAGGAGGTTCGTGAACGGATGGGGAGGACCCTGAAAAGCACTGTGGAATACAGGTTTCTAGTAACTTCAAAATCACATCATTTGGACTGGGTAAGAATTGCTGAAACTTTAATGAAAAGACTGACTGGCTTATAAAACTGCTAACCCAAATAGAATAAAAATTAATTGAATACCGAGGAAATACTTCACCAGGTTTGCATACTTAATCAGCCTATACTGAAATTGTTTAGATATACAATTTGAATGAACTCCATGGTCTAAGTCAAATTACCTGTGATAACCCATCAGTTATCCATGCTATGTGCCCAATTTGGAGAAACAACTGGCACCCAAGAGGACATAAGTCCGATGTTAAGCATGGACTCATGGAGAACCAAGATGGCTGCCTTGTCCTTCGTGAGTCCTTAAAGCTTTTGTTATTAAAAGTTATGCATTCCATGACTCATCCTGGAAAAGATAAAATGATCCAAATTAAATATGTTGGTGTGGTGACTTACAGATTGTTAAAATAGTTTATAAACAATGTTTAGTTTGTCAAACCCATACTCCTGGGAAGTCAATCAAAGCTTCATGTACATTTGGCTACCTGATGAGGCATTTAAACATTTATAAAGGGGTTTCATTCAGTTGTCATTTTCAATGTATGTGTTCTGGTTGTACTAAAGCTTTCCCATGCAGGAGGGCTAATGTTATAACAGTAGATTACTATGTATCAGTGTATTTTCACCAGGTAAAGAGCTTTTTATGGTTCACTGAGGACAATCAACCCCTTCACAATCTAGAACCCAAAGATGGGATCTTCTGAGAACATCAGAGAAAAGCTGCCCTTGGCATCATCACTGCAACAAAACATCAGGATCTTGAACCTTGGGGTCATAATCTCACAACTGAGCAGGGTCACTCTTGGAACTCTACATCCATTGAAACCCTTAAGGTAAAGCTAATCAGGGAAGTTTCTCCCCAGAAGAAGATGGCATCCTTGATGTGAGCAGCTCTTTCTGAAGATCATGGATCAAGACTTCTTACTATCATGAGACTCTTATCTTTGAATGTTTTTCCGTTGCTTCCGCCTCTGTGAACAACAGAAGTGAGAAGGGGGTCTGTTTTGTGCACTTATGGGGTATACTTTTATTTGTGAAGGGCTTTGCAGCCAGCTTTATACATGGATAATCTTATAACTTGATAGATAAAGATGAAGGCCCAGTGTATCATAGGTGAGAAACTTCAATGGTACATATGGTGCCTCATAATCATTCAGAAGCAGAACATTGGTTCACTCCTCTTAACCCACAGCATGGGTTAAAGAGACCATTGCCAAGAGGCCTTCCCTCTTCTAGAAGGGCATCATTTGTTAGGTCCTTTTTCCATGGTTTGGAATTAAAAAGGCAATGACTAGAAACATATCCCTCATGGTAGACTCTGTAGCAGATTCTACTGTAAAGGCTACACAACAGATGTTAAATTCTCTTGTGAAAGTTATGCTAAAAAATAGAATTGGCTAAACAGGAAAGTACCTGTGCAGATGCTGGCACTTAAGGCCTATGGAGAAAACATCAGGTGTTATAGAGAGTCTGTTGTAGGGAATTAACGAAAAGACCACTGAGTTAAGTCAAAGAATGGTCTATTTGAGTTTAGGTGGTCTGGTTTATGGGGACCCTGGCTAAGGAGCATACTCCAAATTCTTGGTGTTAACCCTCTCAGTAGTCATAAGAATAGTCTCCCTGGTGCACTGTATTCTCTCAAAGGTTTTAAATGTTTGCATGAAGCCATCTTTAGAACGTCAGATGGTCTCTCTTCAACTGGAATGACAAGAGCTGAAAGAAATGTGTGACCACGAGGACACCGAAACCGATGAGTGACATGCTGAGACTGGAAATCCAAAATGATAGTAACGGAGAGTGGCGCTAACATCCTAAGTTTTGGTCACACTCTTGCCTAAGTGACAACCTGACAAAGGGGGAATTTTTTAAACAAAATGATGGGAGGCCATTGTTTTGGACTGAGCACTAGGTCCCAACAGACCAAACCGAACCAAAATGGCATCATTCGTGCTAAATGTGACATAATCGAATTAAGACTTTAAGGAAACACATGGGTCCTAGAATAGACCAGGTTTTGTTTTTCTCTTGCAAACAGGACTTTCCAGCATAAGGTGGTATCCTCAACTCAGTCCTTGTTCCTACCTTTGCAAAACTCACTGTTCTGCTTCCTAGTGGGTTTCAAGACCAATGGTGACAGTGACATCAATAACTCAAGTTTCGATCAATCTCTCAAAACTGATAAAATGACCAAAAAGGGGGAATTGTTAAAGCGAACTAAATATGGCCTGAGAAGGACTCCGTACTTCTGTATTGGAGTCCCTGTGAACAAACTGAGCCTAACTTAATAGGTAGACAAGATTGAAAACCTAAATTAGGAGTATGTACCTGTCACAATTGCTGAGTCTCGGCCAGTCCCAGCAGCCGTACTTCAATCACTCATACACTGCTGAATGTTCAAACTGTGTGTAAATAAGGCAAATGCCAACCTGTAACTAATCCAGGTGTTTCTCTACCTCACTTCCCTTTTTTTGTCTATAAATCTTCCACCACGTGGCTGCACTGGAGTCTCTCTGAATCTGCTGTAATTCTGGGGGCTGCCCGATGTGCAAATCATTCATTGCTCAATTAAACTCCTTTAAATTTAATTCAGCTGAAGTTTTCTTTTAACAAGAGTGAGATAAGAATCTGTGTTCTTATCCCCCAGAATGGACAAATCAGTAGCGTTCCTTGTCATTCTTTTGTGGCTGGTTTCACGTAAATATTTTGTGTGTATGATAATAGAATTTGATTTTAATGAATATACTTTAAAAGCAACTTTTTTTTTATTCTTCCTCACCATCGAAGATGGAGAAAAATAAGAAGGGCTGTCTTGCGGTTCCATTTCTTTTGTGGATAGTAAGAAGCGCTGTCTTCTGGTTCCGTTTTTTTTTTTCTGGATAGTAAGGATGTTTATCTTACTCTGTCTTCATTGTCCTCAAACCTCAAGTAGTCACTAATACCCTGGCTATGACAGCTTTTATCGTAGTGTTAAATGGCAGATTTATTTACTTGGCAAACATTGTCAAGTCTCAGAAAAATTACCCCATGGTCTTGCCTTCTTCCCTCGTGAATTGCCTTCCACTGATGGAGAGGATTTGATCTGTTCCCTGCTCATCAATTTTTCTAGCTTCTTTGGGATGTCCGCTCTGCATATCTACTAAGGAATTAAGAAATAATGGCTTCAGCAAGAAACAAGGCAGGAAAGTGCAGTGACATGAGGACCATACAGGGAAGGAGCTGTCCCCAAAGGTGAGAATGGCCCTGGACAAGGGTTCTTGCTGTGACTTCACTCAGACCAGACCACCTTGACCTTTTCGTCACCGTGCCTCAGCGAAGTCAGTCGTTGATTCTCTGATCCGTTACTGAGATCATCATGAAATCTCCCTCGTACGAGAGTTGCAGAACTCTGCAGTGTCAATCATAGTGTTTGGGAGAGAGGACTTTCTACCTCCATCCTTTTTCTGAACCTAAATGGAATGAAAATTAGAACTGTTGCTTATTCTTTGAGGTAATTTCAAATTCCCTTATCCAAACCAGTGTTACAAAAGGACTCCAGTTTGCCCCCCAAATCGGTCTATTAAGAATGTAATGATGAATTTTCATCCAAATCCCACAATATGAGCTTTTCTAAAATAACTCTAGAAACAAATATGACAATATTCCAAAATTCCTGCCCTCAGACCTTATTTTGTATTAGAGTTATCTGTGTATCCATTTTGTATCCCCTGAAGCACGATGAGCCACTTGAGGCCAGGTACAGCCATGGCGTGTATCCCAGAGCACCTGTGAGAATGTCTCACAGACAGTCCGTCTCTCCTGAATATGAAGGGATGGGCACCAGCCGGAGCCACCATCCGTGTGACTGGCCCGTGGCCGCCTCCAGCTCACACAGAACCTCTGCACGCAACGGAAAAAGGTCTCCCCTGGGTGAATGGGGTGGGAAACGTGTGCCCCTCCAGGCGGCTGGTGAGCAGAGTGCTCCCCTCGGCAGGGTGTGACTTGTACAGCTCCACCACGGGCCCTGTAACAAGACAGGCTTCGACCCTGCCCTCTTGCAGCTCGTATGTATGAGGGGCAGCCCAATAAATAAATAAGCAAATCCATGCTGTCATTTCAGGTATTAGCTAGAGCTTTGGAGGAAAAGCAGGCTGAGGGGAGGGAATGACGGGCAGGAGCAACGCAGGCAGCAGGCCAGGGAGGGGCCGAGTCGGGGCCTGGGTAACAGGCAGTGCCATGTATAAAACGTTAAAAAGTGTGAAAACCAGTTTTACATACTGGGTAGTTAATATTTCCATCTTCCCCCCATTTTGGTTTCAGTTCATTCTAGGTTTCTTTTCATTTCCTGTATTTCTTCGACACTATAGTTTTGTGCTGGGTCAGGCCAGCCCAGGGTGAGTCCCACTGATGGCTGCTTTGGGTGAAGATTGAAGCCTCCCCTCCAGGGGCTGCAGCGCCAGTCTCTGTGTGTGGCCTGGTCACAGCACTCAGGCGTCTCCGACCAGCAAGAGTGTCTCGGGGACACTGGTTCTCCCCTCAGGCCTCCGACTTGCAGGGCCTGCCTGGGGGTGGCCAAGGGGATGCTTGTGTGTCCACACACAGTGTGAACACAGCATCTGAGGGCGCCCCAGTTTCCTCTGCAGACTTCAGGAGAAGATTCTCTAAGCAAAGTTCACAAAGAAGCAATAGGACTGAGGCAGGGTAGGGGAAATAGGTTGATACCAAAATACAGGGAGAAGTGCCCTAATGTGTGCTGAGGGTGCTTTGGAAAGATTTCAGGTGACTCAGCCGGGGTCAGGCATCTTGTGAAGACAGGAGAACTGCGGGCCTTTCTGCAGCGTGGACAGCAGGTTCCCTCTCCTGGGCGTTCCCTTGCCTTCGGATTTGGGGGGTTTCCCCTGGCAGGGCTGGGACCCCCTGCAGACAACGGGGACCTTCCAAAGTCTGGGAAAAGAAACCAGACCAGGTACTGGGACGCAGGTCACCAGGAGCCGGCAGCGTGGGGCCCAATAGTGAGGCCCTTCCTGGGCCTGTGGCCTCCTCAGTACTGTGAGGCTGCCAGGCTGAGAGTTTCTTTCCAATCTGAAGTCCTCCACTAGACAACTGAGGAGAACCTGCACCTGTGCGGGTCTCCTGGTCTCCTTGGGTGTGATGAGGGCAGAGACCCCCCTACAGGCCACAGAGGAGTCCACTAAGGCTCACCCAGGCCTGCTGCTCCAAGGACCCACCCAGTCCCTAGGATTTGTGCTTGAAGCCGCCACTGCCCTCACGTGCGTCCTGCCCACGCTATGCTCACACGTGTCACACGCCTGGCCTTCCACGCACGAGTGCTCCCACATGCTGAGAATTAGCCTGTTCTGTGAAGGGCCACCCGTTCTCGTCCGTCCTCCTGCGGTCGGACACTTGATGTAATCAGGGTTTGGAGACGTTATCAATAAGGCTGATAGACATTCTTTTACAGACACGATTTTTATTTCTCTTGGGTAAACACCCGGGAGTGTGGTCGCTGGGCAGTCGGGAGAGTGGCTGTTCCGTTTTGCACTCCCAGCAGTAGGGAACGAGAGTTCTAGTCACTGTGCGTCCTTCCCAACGTGCAGTTGCCAGCCTGTCTCTTTCTAAAGGCATATTGCTAGTGGGTATGAAATATACCGAATTTCTTTTTATTTTAAGCTCAATTCCTTTACGTGTTTTCTTCCTAGTCCCCAGAGTGGCTTCTGTCCCCGAACATAGGTATGAATGGTGCTGAGCACTGGACCACAGGGTGAGCTCCGGTGGGAGGGTTTTGGCAGGCCATGGAGATGAGTACTTGAATTAGGCCCAGATTGCAGAGTCAGGAATTGCTGGGTACAGCCTGTCTGCATTTTGTTTTGGCTTCAAACTTTACAACATTCATTTTAAGTTCTGAGGCCTTAGGTCCTAAGAAAATGTATTATCTGGAACAAATGCAATTGCCAAAGTCTACAATGACTTTGCTTTGTGCCAGACCTCCTGGAATATGCCCATTCCTGGTTCACAGATGTCTGTCAGGCCTGCCCAGGGACCAGGTCCCATGCTGTGGACTCTGACCCCATGCACGGAGCAGTGGAGGCTGCCTGCTCGGCCTGGCTGGCGTCTGCCCCAGAACCGTATCAGACGCCTGCTGTACATGCAAACACAGCGCCCTTGGCTCTTGGCAGGCCAGTCTCCGCTAATCACAGACAAACCTCTAGTCCAGATTGAGGAACATGTGGTACCACTCTCATCTTCCACACCCAGCACAGACCTCAGTGACTGATTGCGGCTGGTGCTGCTGTGAGCATGGACGCAAGCTCTGCTTCCAACAGCAAACTTCAGAAACCCACTTCCAACAGGGAAGGCTCGCCCCCGACAGGAACACAACCTCAGAAACCCACTTCCAATGGGGAAGGCTCACCCCCAACAGGAAGACAACCTCAGAAACCCACGTCCAATGGGGAAGGCTCATCCCCGACAGGAACACAATCTCAGAAACACACTTCCAATGGGGAAGGCTCGCCCCCGACAGGAACACAACCTCAGAAACCCACTTCCAACGGGGAAGGCTCACCCCCGACAGGAAGACAACCTCAGAAACCCATATGTCCAATAGGGAAGGCTCATCCCCGACAGGAACACAACCTCAGAAACCCACCTCCAACGGGGAAGGCTCACCCCCGACAGGAACACAACCTCAGAAACCCACTTCCAACATGGAAGGCTCACCCCCAACGGGAACACAACTTCAGAAACCCACTTCCAACATGGAAGGCTCACCCCCGACAGGAACACAACCTCAGAAACCCACTTCCAACATGGAAGGCTCACCCCCAACGGGAACACAACTTCAGAAACCCACTTCCAACATGGAAGGCTGACCCCCAATGGGAACACAACCTCAGAAACCCACGTCCAACAGGGAAGGCTCGCCCCCGACAGGAACACATTTCTATCTCCAGGCTGATGAATACTGAGACAAAATGCAGCACAGTCCTCCACACGTCCCTTTTGCTTTGGAGGTGGTGGAGTGACGCCCTTGATAACCAGCCTGTGCTGCCTGAGTGGCCCTTTGAGTTCGGGTCACAGTGTCAGGCACCAGCTCCTTCCACTCAGCTGTGCAGACTTGCAGTGGGTGCGTCTGTGACAAGCATTCTGCCCACCACCTGAAATTGATCAAGTCTTTCCTGCATATTCCAAGTCTTTTCTCTGTTGATGGAAAAACCAAACTCTGTAAAATATTTTAAAGAGGTTTCTTCTGAGCCAGTGAGTGACACAGCCAGACAGACACGGTCCCAGCGAGTCCTGAGAACGTGTGCCTGAGGAGATCGGATTGCAGTTTGGTTTTGACATCTCAGGGAGGCAGGAGTTATAGGCAAAGACATACAGCCATGCATGGCAGGTCCACACTGGCTCGGCCTTTGGAGGTGGGACACCTTGAAGGGGGCTTACAGGATATAGATGGATCCAGAGATTCTTTGAGTTCCTGTTGGTGAGAGGAGCAAGGCTCTGTCTAAAACTTGGAACGTTTAAGTTAAGATCCTGCTACAGGATCTGTAGCCTACAGGTGCAGCCTCAGGTCCTGCTCAGCCTGCAGGTGGGACCCACCCCTGCCTTGTGCGGCCTCGGGTCCTGTTATAATTCGGTATCCTATTGCCACCAAGAGTCTGCTTTGTCAGTCTTAAGATCTCCGTTTTAACATTACTGCTGGTCAGTTGTGTCTAAACTCCCAAAGGGAGGGAGTATGACGAGGCATGTCTGACCCCCTTCCTGTCAGGGCCTGGAACTCAGCTTTTCAGGTTTCTCTGGGTCCCCTTGACCGAGAAGGGTCATTCAGTCAGTGGAGGGGGGGATTCAGGGTTATGCTTTTAGTTCACACCTCCAAAACAGGAGGCTACCTTTTAAAACGAAGTAATCACCAGTGACGTGAAAATCAGAGTTGACTTGAGAACCAGATGATGGGTGCTTCCAAAAGGCTCAGACCTTGGCCCCCAACCTGCCTCCCATGCTCAGCACTCAAAGACCTTGGCCCCCCCACCTGCTTCCCATGCTCAGCACTCAAAGACCTTGGCCCCCCACCTGCCTCCCATGCTCAGCACTCAAAGACCTTGGCCCCCCACCTGCCTCCCATGCTCAGCACTCAAAGACCTTGGCCCCCCACCTGCCTCCCATGCTCAGCACTCAAAGAGAAGGAGGGCAGGAGGAGCCTGGCCACTCCTGAGCAGCCTGGGAGGCCTTTCTCTAGGAGATGGCCAGGCGTGCATGGTGGGGTGTGGGGGCACCTGCGAGGAGACCCGTGCAGGCCATGCCTGAGACGTGCGGAGGGATGGGGACAGGGCTGCCTGTCAGCCCACCAGGCTGCCAGAGCACCAGGGTTTGTCAAGGGCTTTCTGCCTTCCCTGGGGCTGGACACTCCCTCCAGGCTGCAGCTGAGTCGGGGGCACAGCCACAGTGAGTGCTCAGAATCCCCCTCCTCATGGACAGTGCTGGGCGCTCAGTCTCCTGCAGGAGTGCCCCAGCCTGAACTCATGCAGCAGGGCTGTCCATCAGATTCACCTGACCCCTAGTCATGCCCGAATCCCTGCAGGATGGAGGACCTGTGGGAGACTTCGCTCCAGCTGCAGTAAGTCAAGGTCAGCTAGGGCCACGAGGGCCCCACCGGCCAGTGTCCTGGCCGAGGCTCCCAGACACCAAGGCCGCCCAGGCCTCCAGAGCAGCAGCCAACTGCCCCTCATTCCCCGGCCTCACTCACAAATAGCCTTCACCCACACAGCCTTCGCCCTGTGCACCGCGGCTGGGGCTGGAGGGGAGGCAATGGCCGTCTCCCGTGTGTGCACTGGACGCCCGGAATCTCAACAGCACTCACACTGGAACTTGAAGGTGCCCCGGGGAAACCCACGGAAGCACAGTGGTGCCTCTGGCTGCCTGGAGCCTACCCCAGTTCCTCCCTGGCAGTGAGAGAAAGCTGCAATCACCCATCAGCAGGCTTTATTACAGAAAAGGAAACGCAAATTGGGCCTCCCCTCCTGCTGGGAAGCATGGGAACATAAGGTGGGAGGAAGATGGAAGGGGGAACAAAGAGAAACACTGCAGACCGGCTGCAACCAGAGGCTGCAGGTGCAGGGCTGAAACTGAATCATCGCCATGCCAGCAGGAGTGGCCTGCCTGGAGTAACCCACCCTTCCAGGGAGCACAGGCTGGGTGCCCTCCCCAGGGCCCAGGCAGGCCCCTCCTCTGGGTCTTGGGGCCCCGGTAAGAGCAGGAGTTGGAGAGGGTGGGCTCCTCGCCTCCACTTTCTCTGTCCTGTTAGAATTCTAACGGGCGGGGCATTTTCTGTGTTAGGGAATGCTCCAGAAGACTTATGTGACCTCAACTTCAGCTAAATTTCTAATAGGAAAAGTTGGTAAGCTAAACAAAACCCTAAGCCCCCTAAACAACTGAAAGGGGCCCCAGAGAAACCTGAAAAGCTGAGTTCCCAGCCTCGATGGGAAGGGAGGCCCGCCACGCTTCATTATACTCCTTCCCTTTTGCAGCTTAGATGCAACCACGGACCAGCATTAGAGGTCATGGAGATCTTAGGACTGACAGACAGACTCTTTGTGGCAATAAGATACCAAATTATAAACAGGACCCATGCAGGCAAGGGTAAAGTCACACCTGCAGGTCATCATCTTGCTACACAGCTTCCAAATTTTAGACAGAACCTTCCTCCTCCAACCAAATGCAAATTAAAGAATCTCTGAATCCACCGATGTCCTGTAAGCCCCAGCTCTGAGATGTCCCTCCCTTTCAGGTCAAACCAATGCCGACCTTCTGTGCACGGCTGTATGTCTTTGCCTGTAACTCCTGCCTCCCTGAAATGTTAAAACCAAACTGCGGCCGGGCGCGGTGACTCACGCCTGTAATCCCAGCACTTTGGGAGGCCGAGGCAGGTGGATCACCAGGTCAAGAGATCGAGACCATCCTGGCCAACACGGTGAAACCCTGTCTCTACTAAAAATACAAAAATTAGCCGGGCGTGGTGGCGGGCACCTGTAGTCCCAGCTACTCGGGAGACTGAGGCAGGAGAATCTCTTGAACCCGGGAGGCGGAGGTTGCAGTGAGCCGAGATCGCGCCACTGCACTCCAGCCTGGTGACACAGCGAGACTCCATCTCAAAAAATTAAAAAAAAACTGCAACCCGACCTCAGGTCCTTTCTCAGGACTCCTTGGAGCCTGTCTCCCAGGCTGTGGTTGCCCCTGTTGGCTCAGAAATAACCTCTTTAAAATATTCTACGGAGTCTGGTTTTTCCATCAGCAAGTTTAACTCTAAAGTGGACATTGTTTTCCTTTCATAAAGGGCTGGGGCTTCCCAGATGATAATGAAAAAATTAAATTTAAATGTTATTTAAAATACATTTCTTCTTTCATTATGAAAGTAACAAATGGAAGAACATGTTTCCAAAGCCATCATGGTTTGTTAATTTTTAAAACCAATGAAGATAGGTTAAAAAAGTGAGCAAACATATTTTACATATATTTTTAACTTGAAAACTTATACATATTTACTCATTAATTTCTATAGTAAACTTATTGAGGTATAATTTTCATACAATTGAGAAAAGGAAAGAAATTGTGCTGAGGGATGATGCAAGTCCTTTTAAACGATCAGGCCCAGAGAGGCAGTCAAGTGAGGCGGCAGTGACTTCCCACTCCCCGCCTTGGAGCTGTGTATTCGTCTCTTGAAACGCTGGCTGTTGCCTCAGGTTAACCTCCTAGTGCAGCAGCAGACACTGCAACTCACACCCTACGGCTTAACAATATAGAGCCAAGCAATAGATTATGTTACTTTAACATAAATCCTTGGTCAACAACTTGGAACAGCCTCTTCTTTCCCTTGAAAAACCCACCTGTAACAGCTGCTAATAGGAGGTGTATTCAGGGCAACTTGAATCTACGCTTCCGGGCAGCAGTCCTCAAGCTTCGCCCAAACTCCCTCCTTACATGAATTTTGCCTCAGGTCTTGCCTTTGAGTCCAATTCAATGTGATGTTCAGTTTTCAGTCATACAAGTTGACAAGTTGTGACCAATGTAAGCCATGCATCCACCGTCCTGGTCAAGATGCATGAGGCTTCTGTGACTCCAGAGAGGCCCTCCCACCCCTTCCTAGCCAACGCCCCAGTCTTGGACCTCCAACCCTCCCTCTGGTCGTCATCACCATCTGGCCACTTCTCCATTCATGAATATTCCCACCCCTTCCTAGCCAACGCCCCAGTCCCAGGCCTCCAACCCTCCCTCTGGTCGTCATCACCATCTGGCCACTTCTGGCTCCATTCATGAATCTAGATATTTCCATATAGGGACAAGCTTGTATTTAGCATTGGTCTGCTGATTGAAGTTCTTCTTCTTCTTTAGTGTAAACCCCAGGCTTAACTCTCCTTCCTAGCCACCCAATTTCATATTTTTTAAAGTGGACCAAGAAGTTGGGCACATTTTAAGACAATCTAAGACCAGAATTTCTCCAAACGTTCACCAATTAGTTTTCATTTTTAAGAGTCATCTTGTCTATACCTAATTCAAAAGCAATTTTTAAAGCAGCCTCAAGTTACCTTGACCTTGTTTTCCCAAATCACTTATCTAGGTTTATGTAGAAACAACTTTCTGTCATTTTGCACTGATATGTAATAGGTTACATAATGTTGAATTAAGTTTCATGGTGTTACTGGAACAGGGTCTCAATCCAGACCCCAAGAAGGGGATCTTAAACCTCGTGCAAGAAAGAATTCGGGGCTAGTCCATAAAGTGAAAGCAAGTTTGTTAAGAAAGTAAAGGAATGAAAGAATGGCTACTCTGTAGGAAAAGCAGTGATGTCCGCTGCTCGACTGAATATACTTATGGTTATTTCTTGATGATATGCTAAACAAGGGGTGGATCATTCAAGATTTTGCTGGGAAAGGGGTGGGCAATTCCTGTAACTGAGGGTTCCTCCCCTTTTTAGACCACATGGGGTAGCTTCCTGACATTGCCATGGCATCTGTAAACTGTCATGCACTGGTGGGAGTGTCTCTTAGCATGCTAGTGCATTATAATTAGTGTATAGCGAGGAGTGAGGGTGACCAGAGGTCACTTTCGTTGCCGTCTTGGTTTCAGCCAGCTTCGTTACCATATTCTGTTTTATCAGCAGGGTCTTTGTGACTTGTACCTTGTGCGGACCTCCTACTCATCCTGTGACTAAGAACACTGAACTTCCTGGGGTTACAGCCCACAGGTCTCAGCCTCATTTCATCCAGCCCCTATTCAAGATGGAGTCGCTCTGGTTCAAATGCCTCTGACACTAGTAAGGATCACAGGTGGCATCAACAGGTTTGGAGCAAACCTGAGTGTCTCCCGGTTGGTCACATCTCAACTGACGAAATCCACGACCAGCAGAGAGCAGCCTCCTTGCCCCCTGTGCTCACTGAGTCATCCAGCCCATTTTGACCAAGATTATGTGAGTTGCTGGAGCAGAGGTTGGTTGAGGGAGCTCCCACTGTATGTAATCACCGTGTCTTGCACAAAATAAATAGAAAACACAAGAATACACTCTTATGCATGATCCTACAGCCCAGAGGCATCCACTTCCTACATTTTGCATATCGTTTTCCAGTGTCTAACAAATACTTTAATGTACTTACAGTCAACATCATTGCAGGGCTAGAGGGAACCATAATCTACAAAACTGTCCTCAATTCTTCACCAGTTACAAGGGTAGGGGTCTCCAAGACCACCCTCAGTTTTGATAATTCGCTAGAAAAACTCACTGAAAGCTGATATACTCATGGTCATGACTTAGCACAAGGGTAGGACACAGATGACTATCAACCCAGGGAAAGGCGCTCAGGCCGGAGTCCAGGAAGTTCCCACCTGCAGAGGGTCCTTCCCCACAGAGCTGTGGGCAGTGTCACTTGGGGCATCCAGGTGGGATCCCCCGAGCTTAGTGTCCCAGAGCCTTTGCTGGGGCCCCATGGTTGACTGCCCATGCGGATGGAGGTCTCCAGCTCACTCGAGGGTGAGCTCATCGCAACCCCTACCTGAATCACACTTTAGGCCTCCTGGTGTGGTCCAAAGGCCCAGGCAAACCAAGACCGTCCCATGTGGCTTAGAGACCACCTCTCAGAAGCTGGGGGAAGAGGCCAGGTCTCTCTGGGCAAGGTTCAATTCTTTATTACACCGTCATATATAAAGGATTTATTTTTCTTTCCAAAAGTTGGATTGCACTACACGCTTTGCTTTGCAATCTGCTCTCAGGCTCGTGGCATGACCGTGTGCCACACGCCGCTTTGTTCACTGAGGCGGACTCAGAATTCCTGTCATCGTCCTCTGCTGCTCACCTGGCCGTCCTCGGCACCTGGGTGGGAATGGAATTTGAACACTGGCGTGATTGTGGGTTGGTATCTCAGTCTGGGGTTCTAGAAGCAAACCCAAGACGAGGATTTGTGTGGAAGCAGTATAAATAAATGATGTGTTCCCTGGAAGACCCCTTTGTGGGAATGGGGGGTGGTACTGGGTGGGGAGGAGGCCGCACGCTGTGGGGGTCACTCCGGCTCCATCTCATGGAGGAACTGGGAGGCTGCTTGTCACTGCTCACAGGTGTGCCCTTTGGTTTGGGGGGTGCTCAGGTGCTCTATGTCTTATCTGTCATTCACTGTCTGAGGGTTATAAATTCCCAGACAGCGTAGCCCTCCAGGAGCTCAGCGAACCCCAGGGAAGAGGTTCCTGTGGCCAGAGGGCAGCCCCTGCAAGATTCAGAAGCCGGATGCTGGGACTGAGAGACCTGGGGCTCGGGGGCCTGCAAGATTCAGAAGCCGGATGCTGGGACTGAGAGACCTGGGGCTCGGGGGCATAAAAATGGTCAGTGGATACAGAGAAATGTGGGCAGAGTCCTCACGGCATCTGCTACGAATAAAGTCTGAAGGCGCCACAGCACTCAGAAGGGCCGGGTGTGATTCTCTCCTGGGTAAGTGTGTGCTCTCGGTGGGGTCAGCTGACGGAGACTGGGACAGAAGCTTAGTGGCCGCTCACCACTGTTTCGTCCCAGCCGCGTTCACCTGGGTGTCAGCTCCAGCAACCTGGGCAAGGATGGGGGAAGAGCATTCTGTCCCGTGGGTGCCGCATATGCTCAGGCCATCAGCTCTACCCCAGTGGGTGCAGGCTCCCTCCTCTGCACTGAGCACCTCGCCCCGTCGTCCTGAGCCCTCCATCGTCTCCACTTTGGGCAAAGGCCAGGGGCTGCTTGGCAGGGTCTTGAGCAATGGAAAGGGACCAGCAGGCTGATCGCTTTCCCTCCTCCCTACCTTAGAACAACTCAAGGTGCAGGGGCCCCGACGGCCTCCCTGAGACACCCTCATGAGCCATCATCGGCTGTTTTCTTTGTGATCTGTGGTAGCTCAAAATAAATACATAAATAAATAACACATAAACAGAGCATCACTCTGAATTTGTCCCGTTTCTTCCCTATCTCCGTGCCTAACCCCACTCCTGCTTCCCTGGGCTTGCGGACCACCCCCCACCCCCACCCCCACCCTCACCCCCACCCCTAACCCCCGACCCCCACCCTCACCCCCACCCCTAACCCCCGACCCCCACCCTCACCCCCACCCCTAACCCCCGACCCCCACCCGTTGTGCAGATCTGGCTTCTGGACTTCCTTCTGCTGTCCAGCCCACCACTGCCCAGCTCCTCAAGAAAAAGGGCTCCAGGTCTGAATCCTTCCCTCGGGGGCGGGATGTGTGGCTGGACCTGAGGTCAGAAGCGCGGCTGAGGCTGCAGACGTGTGCACAGAGTAAATGTGTTGAAATACTTTACTGCACGTGTTCCCTTTATACTCTCTTTTCACACTGATTTCAGGCCTGCAGTCTTTGTGCATCTTTGCTTACAGGATTTTGCCGTATTGTAAATCAGAATGACCCTGAAGTTTAAGCTAAGCCAGACTCTTATGGAAGAAAAAGCTAGGTGTCAGAGGTGGTGGGGGTGGGGGATGCGGGGAGAGGGCTTTTGGGAAGCGCTGGTCTAAAAATCTTTCCAGACACAACCATTTCTTACCTCCACCATCACCACTCTGATGGAGCCACTGTCACCTGTGACTTCTGTACCTGTTTTGTATGGCTGCCATGCCCCTCCCACCCACCTCCAGTCTACAGACAGAAAGGCACGTGGATAGATAGACAGAAGGATAGATAGATAGACAGAGACACATAGATAGATGATAGATAGATAGATAGATAGATAGATAGATAGATAGATAGATATGATAGATGATAGAGACAGATAGATGATAGATAGATGGATGATAGATGATAGAGGATAGGTGATAGATGATAGATAGATAGATGATAGATAGCGACAGATAGATAGATGATAGAGACAGATAGAGACAGATAGATGATAGATAGATAGAGACAGATAGATAGATGATAGATAGATAGATGATAGATGATAGAGACAGAGACAGATAGATGATAGATGATAGGTAGATAGGTTAGATAGATAGATAGGTGATAGATGATAGGTAGATAGGTAGATAGATAGATGATAGATGATAGATGATAGATAGATGATAGATGGATAGATAGACAGAAAGATGATGATATAGCTCTCCTTCTCCCGCTTTCTGTTCTGAGGTAGCAGGCCACACTCAGGAATGCTGGAATGTGGGTGTTTGGTGAAAGTGCTCTGTGAATGAACAATATACATGAGCTGTATCTATATCCAGTCTAGTCTCAACACAGCAGCCAGAGGTTTCTTCCAAAAATACATGTCAGCTCAGACCCCTCTCAGCTCCCGTCTCTCCAGCAGGTCCCCATCCAGCTAGGTCAGGAAAAGCCACCTTCACGATGGCTATGGAGGCCCCCAAGGATGTCCCGCACTCACCCCCAGAAGCTTGAGTGTGATGAGAGGCCGCCCTGAGGCACATTGTTCTCTGGACAGTTGGCCTTAAACGAGGGAGGTTATCCTGGTTTCTGGGGGAGCCCTGACAGCAGAGAGCGTCCTCTGGATGCAGGCGGAAGAGGGTGGCAGAGAGGACTCGGCGTGAGGAGGACTCAGGGTGCCCTTGCTGGCTTTGAGAAGGCGGATGCAGCCAGCCTTGAGCTGACAGCCCACAGGGGAGTGGGGCCTCTGTCCCTCAGCCACAGGGAGAAGTCCTCTAGCCCCCAGTGAGCCTGAAGCATGTTCTTTCCTCGAGCCCCAGACAAGAGCACGGCCCACTGGCACCTTGACTTTGGCCTATGAGAGCAGAGTACCCCGCTGAGCCAACCCTCTCCGACTGTGATAATACATGGGTGTTGTTCAAGCTGCCACATTGTCCGGGGGCTGTAAGAAATGAATACTGTGGTCTGCAAGTCCCCCTGACAGTCTCCCACCCTCCTCCCTGGTCCCTCAGACACCCTTGTTCCTCCCGTCAGAACCACAGGCCTCATACTCCCTCTGCCAGAGGCCCTTCCCCAAAACAGAGGAGCGAGTGGAGCAGACAGCTGCCGGCTGGGTGTGTTCCAAGCCTCGGCGGATGCTTCAGAATAGAAGCGCCCACGCCGCTTTGCAAAGTGTAAGTGACCGCGTGGCTCACAAACAAGCCTGTTTTCTGTGAGTCCTGGCCCTTCCTGGAAATGGTGGGGAGGGTGGCTTGGTGAGCTGCCCACATGGTGTGTGCAGGAGGTGAGCTGATCACTGGGCCACAGGTGGCTGACGGGGGGCAGCCATTGAGTGGGACAGGAGTAGGTGACCAGCAACTGCAATAGTCAGGAGTGTTTGGCGAGGGCCTTCCTTTGGCTGAGAAAGGAGGCAGATGCTGAGTGTTCAGCAGTTTGGGAGCAAGGAGAGTCCCTTCTCCTCCTCCCCTCCCCTCCCTTTCCCTCCTGGGCCATGCAGTAGGACTGTGAACAGCATAGGAAATGCACACAGAGGAGCTCAGGACGCCCAGGAGGACCTCGAGGAGTACCCAAGCAGAGGAAGCTTGCACCCTGAGTCTGCAGTCGGCTGGGGTGGGGCCCCTGCACTGGAAGGAAGGCTGGGCCCCCGACCCAGTGGTGGCTTCAGGGCCTGGTGAGGGTCACTTTCAGGCTGCTTAGACCTGCAGCCTCCCCAGGTGGTGTGCTCAGGCAGTGCCTCTGGGCCGGCACAAACGGGAAGGTGCTGAGGCCGCGTCTACCTGTGGCTTTAAACACTGGCTTCCACCTGCTGGCCTCCGCGTCCCTCCAGCCGGCCGCCTGGAGCTCATTTTGTGAAGCTGGTTGTGTGTGAATTAGGTGATTCCCACTGTGAACAGTGGAACTCTTGCACATTCCTTGTGTAATTTTGTCCTTAGCATTGTGTTCACCTCGTGCGCCAGCTGCAGACCCTCTCAGGACCGCCCCAGAAATGCTGGCAGCTGGTGAGTGAGCATCTTCAGGCAGCTGTGAGCTGTGTGAGATGATTTTACCAATGCCAGCCTCATATCCACGCTCTGAGCATGTCTGAGGTGAGAGGGCTCAGCTATGATGCCCGGAAGATGAGGTGCATTAAATGCATTTTGACCTGGGGTATTTTTTTTCTATTATTATACTTTTAAGTTCTAGGGTACATGTGCACAACGTGCAGGTTTGTTACATATGTATACATGTGCCATGTTGGTGTGCTGCACCCGTTAACTCATCATTTACATTAGGTATATCTCCTAATGCTATCCCTCCCCTCTCCCCACCCCACAACAGGCCCTGGTGTATGATGTTCCCCTTCCTGTGTCCAAGTGTTCTCATTGTTCAGTTCCCACCTATGAGTGAGAACATGCGGTGTTTGGTTTTCTGTCCTTGCGATAGTTTGCTCAGAATGATGGTTTCCAGCTTCATCCATGTCCCTGGGGTATATTAAACTTACGATGGGTTGTCAGGATGTGGCCCCACCAGTCCAGGAGCATCTGGGCTACGATTATTTATTTTGTTCCTAGAATTTCTCCAGCTTGGGCATTGGGAGCTCTTGCAGACCCCGTCGACATTCACTCCCTGAAGCCTCCAAAGCCACCGCCCTTCCCTGACATCTTGTGCAAGGCAGGAGGTGTGCGGCCAGTTTCCACAAGGAACAGGGTCTCCTCCAGGCTGTTGGTCCCTGGAGAAGTAACTTTTGCAACTTTTGTAACTTTTCTGTAAGCCTAAAATTATCTCAAAATACACAGTTAAAAAATGAGTCAAGTGATGTCACCCTGGAATCTGCAGACGAACACTAATGATAGCAGCAACAATAATAACAATGGCCTTTGTTGAGTGTGGCAGGCAGTGTGCTGGCACCTCCTGTGCGTTTTCTCATCAAATCCTCCTTAGGAACCCAGGGTCTTCCCATCAGCATCCTGACCTTGTGCATGAGGCAGCGGAGCCTGGGAGTGCGGCGGGGCAGCCGGGGAAGCGGAGGCGTTCCAGGGACGCCCATCTCCGCCGCTGGCTGGCAGCCTTCGCTCTGTTAGCTCAATGTTTGCCTTAATGCACCCTTTAGAATCGCACTCCATCCTTGGAGCCTTCAGCAGCTGATAAAAAAAGAACCCTTCTGTGTACACATTGGCAACTCTACCACCCTATTCCCAGTGGAGCTCCGGGAGCTGAAAATAACCGCGTGCTTTCTGTTTCGTGCAGAAAAGAGGACGTGTGCACTTTATTTCATAACACTTGCCATTTTTGAAACTCTGATTTTTCCCACATGTATTTTTTAAATGTCCTTGGAGGAAAAGACACACTGCGGATTTTGCCAGCTTCCTCTTTTTTTGTAATCCAGCCCAGGTCTATGGGCAGGTCCAGATCTTCAGGGAAGAACTCCTGGCCACCAGATGTGAAGAACGACGGGAAAGAAAGCCTTGAGCCAACACAGATGGCCATGGGGTGGACTTGCCAAGAAGTGCCAGGAGACAGCTCCCTGGGGGTCCGAGGCCGAGGGCCATAGGAGGAATGCCATCCTCAAGGGCCCCTGTCCCTTGCAACCCAGGCCAGGGAGGAGCAGTGGCCTGCCAGGGTCTCTGCATGGCCTGTTTCCTGTGCAAGGAAAGACCACTGGCTAAGACAATCCAGGGCTCTGTGTCCTGAGACAGGAGCAAGGGTGGTCGTCCAGGGCTCTGTGTCCTGAGACAGGAGCAAGGGTGGTCGTCCAGGGCTCTGTGTCCTGAGACAGGAGCAAGGGTGGTCGTCCAGGGCTCTGTGTCCTGAGACAGGAGCAAGGGTGGTCGTCCATGGCTCTGTGTCCTGAGACAGGAGCAAGGGTGGTCGTCCATGGCTCTGTGTCCTGAGACAGGAGCAAGGGTGGTCGTCCAGGGCTCTGTGTCCTGAGACAGGAGCAAGGGTGGTCGTCCAGGGCTCTGTGTCCTGAGACAGGAGCAAGGGTGGTCGTCCAGGGCTCTGCCTTCCCTGAGCTTTCAGCACTGTCCTCACCCCGGCCAAGCACGGCCAACGGAGGGAGGTGTTTGTGTCAGGCTTCCATCTGCATGATGCTCACTTGCTCCCTTTTAACTGAGTTGAGCCCCACGGAGATGCATTTTGGGGAATTTCCAGTGAGCACAGAGCAGGTGGGTCATGGGAGGGTCAGGGCTGAGCACGGCATCAGAGGACGACCCTGCCCTCCGAGGAACACCCTCCTCCGAGGCCACCGGCAGGTTTTCCGGGTCAGCTCTCTCCCGAGGCTGCCAGGCTGTGCCCTTTCCCATCTTGCTGCACTCACCCTGGACCAAGGATCCCAGATGCTTGGCTGTGAGTGAAATTCCTAGGATTCAGGGCCAGGCTAGAAGGGCAGTGGGAGTGGTGTCTGTGGCTGGAAAAGACCCATGCCTGCCTCCCACAAGGCCACACAGCCAGGAGGTTAGGCAGAGAGGTGGGACGTGCCCTTCGACCCCAGTGAATCTGCGCAGTGCTGGAAATACAGCTTGGACTGCACAAACGTACACAGTTGGTCAGCCCTAGTCCTCCCAAATGGGACTGAGAGGAGACCCTCCCAACACCTGCTGTTACATCGAGGGGAGCCTCTTGCCTTGTGCAGTCACTAGGGCTAGGCTGGTCTCATCTCCTTCAGTGATGCACCCAGCGGGTCGCACTGCAATACGACAGGAAGAGGAAATACACGGTAAAAACAATGACAACATAAATGCATAAAGTGAACACATTTCCTCTACAAAGTCAGTAACAAATTAGAAAATGTAATACGGACAAACTTAGTTCTGTTCTCAATACTAACAACCCACACATGAACTTAGCCGGGAACTGTATTAAGAACAGTATTAAAGCAGAGGCTTCATGTGGGGAAAGGTCCCAGGCTTGCTGAGGTTAAGACAATTTACCTGTGTAGAGACATGTCATCACCCTGGAGACAAAGGCTGATGAGCAAATAGACTAATCCTCCCCTGACTTAAGAACTTATAAAGTCGAAACAAAATTATTTTTGGCCCTCTTAAAACATGCTAATGGGATTCAAAAGCTTATCTGGAAAGCAACTGAGCTTGAAGAAGCACGAGCCATTTTAAGAGAAGAATATTAGGAGGGGCATTCCCTGTCAGAAATTAAACCACAGTGTGAAGCTATGATCACTGAAAACATGTGGCACAACTGCAATCATCAATTATATCAGGGAAAACATAAATTACTCTTGAAAGAATTGGAATTTATGAAATAATTGTATGTGTTTGCAGCAGGGGTTAATGGTATCACATATCTCTAGAGAAAGATGTGTTCAACCAGTGATCTGTGATAAAAATAAAATATGTACAATAAATTAGATCTTCTCATATCATCTTAAAATATGACAAACTCCGGAGGTGCCCAGAAAACAACTCCAATGAATGGTCTCCCCCAGCCCCAGATGAAGGCAGTGCCCTTGGGTGGCCCCAGGGAAGAGCTCTCTGCCCAGGGCCACTCTGTGTGGGTCGTGTGAGGGACTCTGGGTCTGGAGCTGTGTCACCAACTACCCTTTGGACCGGCCACTTTCTAAAGGATCAACATCCACAGATTCAGCAGGGCTGGGTGAGGAGACCCAGTCGCCCACCCAGACGGACGACCTGCAGCGGCACACACCCAGGTGCCCACTCCTCTTGGGGGGAGTCCCCATCACTGGATCTTGTCAGCCCTGTGCCACAGAGAGGCTGTGCTGCTATTGTGCGTTTTGGCAGCAGAGGGTGGACACGTCCAGGGAGGGTGGATTAGCTGAGGAGCAGAGCTGGGGCCGGTGTCTCGGCAGTTCACCCACTCCCAGTCTAGAGCAAGAACAGGGTGGACCCTGCGATCCTCGAAACGAGAGTGTTTCCCTTCCTCAGACACATGAGCCAGGCAGTGGAGTTGGGATGTGTCCCTGGATGGTGGCAGGTTAGAGGGGTCCCCAGGCTCCCACAGGAGCCCAGGCTCGGGGAGGAACCCTCTGCCCCTGGCAGAATGGGCACCTGCGTCTTTTATAGTGGGAGCTGGGCCCAGGGAGGGACACACTTCCTTGTCAGATCTAAGACCCAGTTTCTGGGGGGACAAGGGTCTCCAGGCACCCAGGGAAGCTCTCCCAGGCAGAGCCCGGCCCAGAGCTTGCACTCAGGGGTACAGAAGGGATACAGGTAAGGACGTAACTGGATGGAAATTTGTGACTTCAATGCAAAAATTAGAATGTCAGAAAACCTAATAATTAGTAAGCTAAGCATTTGCTGTGAATCAGATAATAACTAGGAAAATTAATATAATGCACAATGAATGGAATGACTACAGGTAGAAGATTGAGAATAGCAGGTGGTGGCAGAGATGTGGATCAACCAAAACTGCTTCTGTTGGTCAGAGTGGATGTGAACTGTGAGGCTGTAGAATGATTTGGGAAAATTGTCTCTTCATATCTGTTAAAGCTAAATGTACGCCTAGCCTATGACTCAACAATTCTGCTCCTAGGTATATACCCAAGAAAAATCCACAAACAAGTTCACCAAAAGGCATGTGCAATACGCAGAGTGACACTATTCATGACAGTCTCCAAACTGGAAACAACCCACATGTCCACCAATGGATAAACCGTGGTCTGGTCACACCATCAAATACAACAATGGGAGTAAATGAGAAGAATGAATGAATCTCACAAACACAATGTTGAGTGAAAGAAATCAGACGCCAAAGAATGCACACCAAGTGATTCCATTAAAAACAGATCATGGAGGCCGGGCGTGGCGGCTCACGCCTGTAATCCCAGCACTTTGGGAGGCCGAGACGGGCGGATCACGAGGTCAGGAGATCAAGACCATCCTGGCTAACACAGTGAAACCCCATCTCTACTAAAAATACAAAAAAATCAGCCGGGCACAGTGGCGGGCGCCTGTAGTCCCAGCTACTCGGGAGGCTGAGGCAGGAGAATGGCGTGAATCTGGGAGGCGGAGCTTGCAGTGAGCCGAGATCGCGCCACTGCACTCCAGCCTGGGCGACAGAGCCAGATTCTGTCTCAAAAAAAAAAAAAAAAAAAAAAAAAGATGTTATAATGTCATAATGCCAAAGCTCTGATCTCAGAGGTTATGGTGCCAGAAGCCATGATGCCTCAAGACCTGATGTCAGAAGTCATGATGTCAGAAGTTACGATGTCGTGATGTCAGAAGTTATGATGTAGGAAGTTACAATGTCGTTATGTAGGAAGTTATGATGTCGTGATGTAGGAAGTTACGATGTCATGAGGTCAAGAGCCATGATGCCAGAGCCCTGATGTCAGAATTCATGATGTCATGTTCTCAGAAGTGGGGACAGTGGTTATTCTTTGGGGAATGGTGATGAGAAGAGGCACTTGAGGGACTTCCAGGGGCCTGTAGCTTTTTATTTCTTGATCTGAGTATGGCTTACACCAGTGTTTTCAGTTTATGAAGCTCTACATTTATAATATCTGTGTTTTATAATCCCTGGGTATGCCACACACTTTAATTTAAAAGTATGTTTAGAGAAAAGGGTTGCAGTCCTGGCCCTGCGTGAGGCTCCTCATGTGATCTTTGACAGCCCCCTTCTCCCTCTGGGCCTCAGTTTTCACATCTGCAAAGTGACGATCTGCGTGCAGCTGAAGGAGCACGGAGACTTTACGTCTCGTCCTGATGTCCAGGAGGGTGGAGGCCCTCTTTCCACCGTGTCTCTTTAAGAGGGGTTACCACTGCACTCTGCCAGGAGCCTGGAGGGGAGCAGGGTCTCTTCGAAGCCCACCCCTGGGACAGTGGCCCACACATGCAGGATGCAGACCTCGGTGGATGCCAGCACAGGGTGGAGGGGCCAGGGAGGCAGAGTCAGAGAGGCCACGGGGCCCACCGCCAGCATTAATATTAAAGGCGGTTCTGCACAAATGATCGCATCAGGCCTGGAGAACAGAGCAGCCAGCTTACATGGGAATGTTCTCACCACAGTCAGCCGTGCAGAACTCTCGTCTAATCAGTACTATTGAAACCTTTAATTTCCCTTATTTTGTGCAAGGCGAGAACTGGATATCAGAGGGATTTCTCCCAGAATCACATCCGCTCTTGCCAGTGTCTCCCCTGGGAGGCCTGATGGCCCCGGTGTGTGAGTGGGAACAGCAGCCCTATCCTCAGCGTTTATTTCCCCTGTGGCCAGTGAGAAAGGATCACCAGCAAGCCCGAGCCCAACCGTCTGCAGGCTGACCTTGACTTTGACCTTGGACCTCAAGGGGCAGGCATGGGAAGCTCATATTCCAGGCGTGGGGCTAAGAGCAGAGGCCTGCTGAGCCCCAGAGCTGAGGCCCCTGTCTTTACTGGACCAGCCCGCACTGCCCAGAGGCTCTCTTGGTGCCAACAGTGAGAAGCTGGGTGCCAAAGGCTGCACCATTGCTGCCCTGGGAAAAAGCAGCTCATTTAGCTGAAGGACACCCTGGCCCCTCTTTTCCCACGCTGCTGAGCCCACTCTCTCGCAAGCTGCCTCCTCCGGGCATCACCAGTGATCCCCATCTCCTGAGGCCTCCTCCCAGCCTCGGGGGGGCGGCTGCCCCAAGTCATATTATAAACTAGCACAAAGCCCGTGTAGGACCCGGGAAGCAGGTCCCTGAGCCAGGAGTCCCCATCCCTGCACAGCATGGCCCTGCTGAACCCCAGCTAGCAGGGGCTGTTCCCGCCTGCGCCTGCCCCTTCCCACCGGAGGACACACCTGACAGTGGGAGCTGAGCTGCGGTTTCCTGGCGCCCGCCAGGTGGGGCTCTTCATGCGTGTGCACCTGTCCTCAGGCCACCAAGGAGTTACCGTCACTGTGTCCATTTCACAGAGGAGGAGACTGAGGCTCAGAGATGGGAAAAGGATCAGGCCAGGAGGTGGGGGAGAAGGATCCTGTGACTTGAGGCCCGGCACTAGAGTCTGCCTGAAATCATCAGCTGTAAGATTTCGCCTCTCATAACAGTAATAATGATAATAATAGTAACTCATTGAAAATAACTTTATGGTCCTTTTCCATGTATAGAAATACAGATGCTCAATGAAAAAAAAAAAATCCAGTCTTCCCAACTCTGCAATGTGCGTTTTCTAGTCTAAAATCTAAGTCTCCATTTATTGCTTCTAAAATGCTCCTCAGGAGAGTTTTGCCGTTTCCTTCAACAACTCTACCTTTCTCACTGAATTCCCCACCATCAGGATTTTATGTGTCTTTCTGCTATTGTGAATGAGATTTTCCCCCTTTATTTTCCTGTTTTCTAAGTGGATATCGGTGACTATTGACTAGTGTTCATTTTGTTATGCTAAGTGCTCCTGTTTCTTACAGCCTTGCAGTTGATCCTCTGTGTTTTCCAGATCAATCTCAAACCATCTGCAAAATATGGGAATTTTGCCTCTTTCCCATCTTTGTAGCTCTTATTTCATGATTTTTTGGTCTTCTGGGGAAAGGAACAGGCTCGGGTAAACAGCCAGGCTGGGGCACCCTCAGGGCAGCTGCGGATCACCCTATGCCGTCCCTCCACCCCGGTACCCACCCCTCCGGGAGTGAAGGCTGCCAGCCGAGATGCACGGTTGCTGGGAAGTGTATGGATGAGGCCCACCCAGGTCTGAGGCATCTCACCCTCCAAGGAGCGGATACTGCCTGCCCCCAGCAGGGGAATGCTGGCTGCTGCCATGGTGGCTGTGGGTGTGTGGTGACCGTCCAGGCCTCCCTGGGCGCTGCTGGGATGGGTGGGCCTGGTTTAGGGTTGATTTCTGGGGTTCCGGGGTCCCCCAGGGGCAGAAGTGTGATGGCACATGGTTCCTTCATGGCTGGCTGCTCTGTGGCTCACGCTGTCTGCCTTTCCTGCCCTGGTGAAGTGGTTGTTTTGTGATGTATTATTTCATTGAATTATATTGGTAGATTTCCTAATATTGAACTTGTTTTAAAGTGCTTGGAAACCTCAACTGAAGCCGAGAGGTGGTCGTTACACGTGTGAGTCTTTAATCTGCCACATGAAGTAATGTGTGAGGACGTTATTACCGTAGCTGGTATGTTTCATTTCATGTGTATGTGCAACTTTTCAATGTTTTGGTGCAAATATTATGCTGGAATCCTAAGAAGAACACAGGGTTTTCTTTCTTTATGCTCATGAATAGGAAATTTTAATCATATTGTAAAGATTGGTGCACCAGCATTTTGAATTAGAGAATTTGTGATTTATCTGGGCGTAGAATTTCGGAGGTGAGTGGGCTGGGTTTTAATAGATTTCTCAATTTCTTCTGCGGTTAATAATAGTCTGCTTACTTTTCTGTTTCCTTTTGGTTAGTTGGGGCAATTCATATTTGCCTGGGATAATCACCCATATTATTTAGAATTTAAAGTATTTGCATGGAATCTGTAAATTATGCACTTGTGTGTGCTTCTGTCGTAACTGTTTCCCATGTCGTTAGACTCGTGTGCACGTGTGTGTCCATGCCGTCCTCACAGTTCCTGAATTAGGGTAGACACAGGCTTGTTCACTGGTGAATTTCAAAGGCCCACCACACGAGCACGCTTTTGAGTCTCCTGCTTCAAATCACACACTTTTACCATCTTATTTTCTTCTTCTTGGTTCTTACATTTGTCCTGTTCTTTTTATTTTCTTGAGTCTAATTTTGTCAGTTGAATGAATAATTTACTTGTTTGTATTTGGTTGTTGCTAACGTAATTGTTATCGCTGTGAATTTTTCTCTGAGACTGTTTTAGTCACATTGTTCGGGTTCTGATAGATCATATTCCATAATTGTTATTTGTGGTGGTTCTGAAATTTGGACTCTGTTGTCCCACTTGACCCAAGAATTGTTCAAGAGGCATTTTGTTTGCTTACTTGTTATTCAGGATGTTAGGGTTTCTGCTTCTACAATTGCTGTTATTTTCTTCCTTTTGTGGATTTTGGCTGGAGAATATGGTCTAAGTGTTCTTGGGATTTGACATAAGTTCAAGTTAAAGAAGAGGTTTCACGGCTTCTTGAAGAGAGAGGCATTTCCCACTCCAGGTGTGATGTACCTGTCAGGATCCACTGCTGGGTCTCCCGATGCGTGTTTGGGACCCTGGGCTCACAGAGGGCCGCTGAGGTCCCCACTGCTGCGGGCTGCCTGGTCATCTTCAAATGATGCTGGAATCTCCACTCACGTACTTACCTCCATTCCTAAAATAGTATCGTGTTTTTCCTCTTTATTGTTTGTGCTATTGGGGAGGAGCCTATTATCAGAGGAAATGGATGCACATCGGACACCCTGCTCTGGCTTTATCAGGTTCGCATGCCCTTTCTTATCACCCCCTTTCCCTGCCCTTCCCCTGCCCCTCTCCACCCCTTTCCCTCCCTCCTTCTCCTTTTCTCCTCCCTTTTACTCCGTCCTCTCTCCTTCCCTGCTCCTTCTCCTTCCTTCCTGCATTTCCTCCCCGCTCCGTCCCTCCTGCCTCTCCTTCCCTCCTCCCTGTCTTTTCCGCCCTCTTCCCTCCCTCCGTTTCTCTCCTTCCCTCCTCCCTCCTCCCTTCCTCTCCACCTCCCACTCCCTCCCTACTCCTCCCTCCCTCTTTCCCATCTTCCCTCCTCTGCTCCCCCAGCCCTTAGCTTCAGAGATCTGAGGTCCTGTTCCTTAGCACCTGGGAAAGCTGGCCCCACAGACCCTCAGGTTCTCTCCACTCACCGACTGGTCCCCTTTCCTGCCAGTGCCTCTCTTGGTTCCCACCCTTCTCCATGGGCAGCCAATTTGCTGTGTTTGACATCTTTTAGTTTGTATGTTTTCTTGAAGAATCGGCCTGACTGTTACGGGTACGGGAGTCACCGTGCTCAAGAGGACCCTCTGTGTGGCCGCGTGCTCGTCCAGGGCGGGGCCTGCCCCACTGCGGAGCCCAGCCTTGAAGCTGCCATCTTTCCACGCTCACACCGAGGGCATTCAGGTTGCCTCCCAGTAATGCTTGGTCCAAGGAGTCCCAGACCGAACAGGAAACTTTAATGCTGATTATACCACATTCATCTTTTTAAAACTTGGTTCTCACTTGCCTCTGATTTGTGCTGTTGACATGTTGTTTAAAAAGCCTTGCCTCGCTCCTTGGCCATGGTTATATTCCCTTATATGAGGTTAAATTTGTAGCTTCACCTGTAGGTGACGGCCATGCCTGGTGTGGCTGGCTGTTGAGGTGCAGGGCGCCGCCGTCCAGCAGAGGCCAGTCCAGGAGCAGAGTCCAGAGGCAGCCTGCAGCCCCTGTCCAGAGGCCCTGAGGGGTCCGGGCCAGGGAGGTGGCCTGGCTGCAAGCCCAGCAGAGCAGGCACGTGGGCAGGACCTGGCCGCAGTCTCACGGGGCGGGCCCCTCCTTCTTCCCCGACGCTCCCCGCTCCCTCCCCACACAGGTGTGCGGGGCTGAGCCCCCGGTGAGTGTAGTGTTTCCAGCCTATGTGCCGGAGTCACCTAGGAACAAGCTCCTGAACTTGCAGCAGAATGTAGCTGCGGACGTTTTGAACACACCGGGGAACAAGCTCATGGATTCACAGCGGAATGTCGCTGCGGACGTTTTGAACACACTGTGGAACAAGCTCCTGAATTCACAGCGGAATATAGCTGCGGACATTTTGAACACACCGTGCAATGTTCTCTTTCTTCATTCATCCTTTTGCCAATTTCCTTAACAAATATTGAATTTCCACCATGACTCAGGCACTCCAGAGTGAACCAGGCCAGACCCTGTGCCCAGGTGCCTGTGCCAGAAATAATTGGGCTCTCCTGGGCCTCTAGGTCAGTTTAAAGTTAAGGGTCCGTGCATCATTGCTGTTAGAAAATTCCTGGAAAAAGTATTTGCATGTCTTTGGGGAAGAGAACCAGAGGAAAGGAATGGGTTTTCTCCCTGGACAGTGAGTGACCTTCCCTGCGAGTGACCAGGACCAATGTGATGTGGCTGGGGCAGTGGGGCTGGAAGAGGAGTGGCAGCTGTGTTTGTCACAGGCCTGGCTGAGGAATTCTCTGTGGCTCTGAGCCCTCGCTCCTGCTCCTCAGGGGCTCCTGGCCCCTCTCCTGCTCAAAGCTTGCTCCCCCAGAGGGTCCAGGCAGCGAGACCTGGGTTGGGCCGGCCTTCCCTGCCCTGCCAATGATGGCTGGGTGGTGGCAGAACCCCCTAAGGCCCAAGGAGTTCTGCTCAGTGCAAGACTCATCATCTGGCCACACTGCAGGTCCGCAGGGGACAAGGCTCCAGGCACAGGAAGACCCAGCTCCCATGGCCTGGCCCCCGAAGGCTCGACCCCGGGGACAGACTCTGGGAAACTCTCTCAGCTGGAGGCTTTCCGTGCAGCTGGAGTTTAAACAGCCCAAGGCTCCGGGCTGTCATCTCCGCCCAGGATTAGCTGCTGCTGGAGACTTCCTCTCGTGGGCCCCGTGCTGGGGCTGTACAGCTTCCTACCTCACGCCATCTCTGTGGTCACAGGACGCTGAGTGGAGAAAATAAAACCCACGCAGGGACGGCAACCATCGTGGGGATACGTGGGGCTGCGCTCAGGTCTGCAGAGGCCGAGGCTGGACAGGGTGGGCCCTGCTTCCTCGTCAGCAGCGGGAGCCCCGTGACCCCCAGCACGCGGTTCAGAGTGGAGAAACTGCCGGGTGACCACGCTGAGCTTCCCCTTCCTTCCCCTTGTCCAGGCTCAGCAGGGGCTCTGGGCTGATCCTACTCTTCCCACTGGAGGGAGCCGTGGGTGCTGGGGGCTCTGGGGGCCTCCTGGCCTCTGGGTGGTCGTGGGCTGCTGGCTTAGGGTGAGGGCACCAGGATCCGGGCTCAGGGACGTCTGTGCCCGCCGTTCCCACTTCCCTTCGACCTCCCCCACCTGATTTCTTCTCTGCCCTCCCCTCCCTGCCGCTAAGGAGTCTTTGGCCTCTGCTGATCTTCTTTAAACTCCCTGCTGCAGCGGTTCACGGAAACTTCCCAATTACCACATGATGACACTGGCAATGGCTTCTCACGTTCTCTGTGGCCAGACTGTGCTCAACACTCCAACCATTATCTCGTTTACCTCAGAAACGTCCCTAAGCTGGGGGCAGGGGCAGTGTCGTGGTGACCGTTCCTCCCTTTTCCAGGCGACTAACCTGGGGTTCCAGAGGTCGGCCCTTCTTTGTCCTGGTGGACGGCCTAAGGCCGAGGTGTCCGACCCGGGACCGAGTGTCCCTGTCACAGGAGACTGGCTGACACCTGCATGCAGTTTATTCCAACCCAGACAGCCACGCCAAAGGACCACGCTGACGGGAGGAGAGGTGGGTTGAGGTGTGCCAGTCAGGTGAGACTCAGGTGGCAACTCCACAAAACGCTGGAGTTAACAGCGTGACTCACAGATCCAGAGAGAAGAGGGCAGCCTCCTCGCAGGGCTGGTGGTGGGAACGGGGCGCTGTCTTGGACGCACACAGCCAGAGGGACAGGGGCTGTGGTCAAAGCCTTCACTGGGGTCCAGGGTATTGCCCAAGCAGGTTCCCACAGGAAGCTCTGGTGGGTGCACTCAGCCAGTGGGCCACAGCCCCACGAGGTCACACTGGAACTGGGAGGGGTCTGCTGTGGGACAGCTACACAGTCCTTGCAGGGTGTGGGGTCTGGGCGAGTCCTGTGGGCTGTCCCATAGCGGGGTGGTCACCAGGAGACGTCTGAGTAAGGCAGGTGTCTGGAGGGACCACCCTGAGATACTGGGGGAAGGCAGAGAACTGGAAACTGTGTCAAGGGTGACTGAGCCCCGATTCTGGGAGGACAAAGCCCCAAATGGGTGCTGAGGGAACACGACATCGTAAGAATTCCGCACAGACGCTTCAGTGCTGCTGATGAGAGAGGGCGTCAGGCTGTGAGCGTGTCAGAGTCTGGGGGGTGTAAAATTATTGCACGTAAATAATCAGGAAACAGCTGCCTAGAATAACCTTTATATTGGAAAGTGTGCTTTGAGGTCATTATGCCGGATTTTATGGCCATTTCTTGGCTGAGCCCCGGGATGGCTTATGTCTTTGCAGAAAGGCATCATCACATTTTATGAATGACAGATGGCTTTTACCACACCTTTGCATGATCGCTTATGGTAATAGGACTGCGGTGCCCTGAGACGTGGGGATCTGCGTGAGTGCCCCCGGCAAGGTCTGCTCTTCCGGCCTCGAATCTGGATCCCAGGTGAGGCCTGAGGGTTTTATTTCTTCCTCTGATCTCCCTGCCGGCGGGGCCACTGTGGCAGGACAATTCGGGGCCCCGCCCCCCAGATGTGCAGGTGCAGGCCAGTCTCGGGGGGATCGGCGGCTCCCGGGGGGCTGTGTCGGGGGGATCGGCGGCTGCCGGGGGGCTGTGTCGGGGGGATCGGCGGCTCCCGGGGGGCTGTGTCGGGGGGATCGGCGGCTCCCGGGGGGCTGTGTCGGGGGGATCGGCGGCTCCCGGGGGGCTGTGTCGGGGGGATCGGCGGCTCCCGGGGGGCTGTGTCGGGGGGATCGGCGGCTGCCGGGGGGCTGTGGGATGGTGCCCCCGTCCCAGGGCTCCCGCACGGGAGGGCTTTGCACGTCCACCCCTCCTTTCCTTGACCAAACCCGGTTCTTATCCAGTCTTGTCTCTTCCTTTCTTTCTTTCTAAGCCCCCATGACCCAAGTCGGGGCTCTAGGGTGAGGGCTGCGTGTTCTGCTCCATGCAGCTGCCTGGACACTGCTGGACGAGGGCCTGTCTCCTGCGGGCTCCCACCCATTGTGGCGCAGGTTTACCCAGCCCTGCTTCACCAAAACATGACTTTATAAAGAGGAGTTATTTCTCAAACTGGGAGAAATCACTGCATTTGGTCAAACAATTATATATATATATATATATATATATATATATATATATATATATATATTTTTTTTTTTTTTTTTTTTTTTTTTTTTAACACAGAGTCTTGCTCTGTGGCCCAGGCTGGAGTACAATGGCGTGATCTCAGCTCACTGCAACCTCTGCCTCCTGGATTCAAGTGATTCTCCTGCCTCAGCCTCCTGAGTAGCTGGGATTATAGGCGCGCGCCACCACGCCTGGCTAATTTTTGTAATTTTAGTAGAGACAGTGTTTCACCATGTTGGTCAGGCTGGTCTCGAACTCCTGACCTCATGATCCACCCGTCTCGGCCTCCGGAAGTGCTGGGATTACAGGGGTGAGCCAGCACGCCCGGCGGATTTATATTTGTAAAATCAGCTCTGCTCTGCTAAACAAATAATTAAAGAAAAGGTGAACACAAGACAGTGTAGACTGTTTAGGTGGCACCAAGAGAACCAGGGCCAGGGGTTGAGCCAGGATGAACACCAGGGGTCAAGGCCACAGCCAGGAGGGCCAAGGTGGGTGCCAGCTGTTGTGGGTGAGGCCAAGCCGGAGTGGGATCAGGGGTGACACTAATCCCTGGAGGAGAGACAAAGAGGGGGATGGGGGCTCAGGGAGTTGGGCCTTGAGGGACTTGCTATCTGATGAAAGGACGGACACGACCCACCAGATGAGGTGGACGGGCCTGGTAAGTGCCTGTCAAGGGTGGTGTGGAACAGAGAGGGGGCTCCTGTCTCACAGTGGGCAGCAGCCCAGCGTCTTTGAGACGGCGTGGAGATGGGCCTAGATCCTAGATGCTGAGAGGAGGCGTCCACACGGCTGAGGGAGGCCAGGCAGAGGCCATAGTGTGGGTGAAGGCCAGAGAATGGGCGAGCTCAGGGAACTGGGGGCCTCGGGGCAGAGCCCGGAGCAGAATGATGGGTGTGGGTGCAGGTGGGGCACAGGCTGGAGGTGTTGGGAAGAAGCCTGCGAGCCTGGTGCTGAGTGCCTGGCTAGCACCGAGTTCACCCGAGGAGCTCCTGAGTGTGGAGGGGAGATGGGGCTGGACCGGGACACTGGTGAGTCCATTCCTGGATGGGCAGAACTCAGCCACAGAGACCAGCCAGCAGGTTATGGGAAAGAGCCCCTGTGGAGGGCAAGGAGGGTGAGGGAGGGAAAAGGGTCTGCTTCGCTTTTTCCCGAGGACGTTGAAGGAAGGGAGAGGGCTTATGGAGAAGAGCAGGCCTCCATGTCCAGAGCAGGAATCCGAAAGTGGAATGCGTTTGCCAGATGTTCTCTCTCCTCTGTCTCTCCCACTTCTCTCTGCCTGTATCTCTGTCTCCTCTTTGTCTCTCCCTCTCCCTCTCTGTCTCCTCTTTGTCTCTCCCTCTCCCTCTCTGTCTCCTCTTTGTCTCTCCCTCTCCCTCTCTGTCTCCTCTTTGTCTCTCCCTCTCCCTCTCTGTCTCCTCTTTGTCTCTCCCTCTCCCTCTCTGTCTCCTCTTTGTCTCTCCCTCTCCCTCTCTGTCTCTGTTCTCGCTGCAGGAGCCCGTCCATATCCCTCATCCAGCAAACTCCATGGCCATGCGGGGCTCCTCAGGACACTGCAGTTGTGCCCTGTTTAAAACAATAACTGTTTCTCAAGTTTCTTGGAGTGAAGCCACCATGACCTTTGCAACAGACGAAGCCTACACTTTTTCCAAGTGTGACTCAAAGGACAAAAGGTTCATGCACAAGGCAGTTCTAAAAGTGGATGGGTAATTGCTGGTTCTGCTTCCTGTAAGGATTTTGTAAGATCACACCAAACCCACTCCCTTACAGAAAACAGCTTCAAAATCTGTACACAATGCAAACAGGCTGCTTGTGGGCGTTGGAGAGTGAACAGCAAGACGGACCTGGGGTGTACACGGGGGATAAAGGAGTTGCAGGAAGCACGTTCTCTTTGACCGTGGCTGTTAGCCTGAGCACTATGTAGTTAGGGCATGAGGAGCTGGGGGTCCTCAGGGAAGACCACAGTCTTCATGGCCTGGAACAGGAGCAGAATGAAATTGGGGAAGCTGTGGCCAGTGGAGGGGGGGAGCGTCCAGAAGGGGAAACTTGGCAGACTCTACTCATGTTTCCGACTGGCCCTGAACTGCACACACTCAAAGCAGATAAAAGAAGCCCAGCTAAAGGCTGGTACAAAATGACCTTCTTTATAATGCTGGTTGTGTTCATTGTTCAATATTAATATAGCTGTTCCCGCTTTTTTTTTTTTTGACTAGTGTTAGTACAGTGTATCTTTTAAAATCCCATTAGTTTTCATGTATTTGTGAATTTATATTTAAAGTGGGTTTTGGGTAGGCAGCAATTAGTTGGGTCTTGCTTTGTTATTAAGTCTGACAAACTGCCACTGAATTAGACCAATGGTTATAGATCATTTTCATCTACCATCACTGTTGATAATGGTTGGACTTAAACCACCATCTTGCTATTTGCGTTTTATTTATCCTGTCTACTTTTTGTTTCCTGTTCCTCTTAGCCAGCCTTCTTCTGGACTGGGTATTTTTTAATCATCCCATTTAATCACTTCTGTTGGCTTATTCCCCATAACTCTGTTTGTACATATGTATGTGTGCATGTGTGTGTATACATTTTAGGGTTTATAGTGTGCACCTTCAACTTATCATAATCTATCTTCAAATAATATTACACTACATCATGATGGTTTAATAACCTTACAGCAGCACACTTCCATTCCCTGCCCTCCTTCATGTCCTTGTGGGCACATATTTTATTTCTCTACATGTTCTATACCCAGCAAAACATGCTTTTCCTTCCTGTGCTTCTATCGGGTCTCCTATAATGTCATTTTCCTCTTGTCCAAAGGACTTTCTTTAATATCTCTTAGTGCTTATCTGCTGGTATGATTAATATTTTAGCTTTTATATGTCTGAAAAACTTGATATCTCACCCTGTTTCTTTTGTTGCCAGGTACAGAATCACAAATCAACAGGCTTTTCCCAGCAGTACTTTGCAGAGCTTGTTCCACTGTCCTCTAGCTCGCCTCATTTTCAAGGAGAAACCTGTCGTCATCCTTGTCTTTGTTCCTCTGTACCCAGCACGTCTCTTTTCTTCTGCCTGCTGTTAAGATTGTCTCGTTCTTACCCAGTTTAAGCAGTTTGGTTAAGATGTGCCTTCTTCGTACTTCATACTTTTTGGACTGGGATATGTAGCTTTTAAAAAGCAAATTTCAAAAGATTTCAGTCATTATGTCCTCCTTTTTTTTCTGTTTTTTTTTCTTTGTTTTCTTTCTGGGACTCTAAATGTATGAATTTTAGGCCAATTGAAGTTGCCCCCCAATTAGCTTTCTGCTCCTTTTGAAGGGGTCTATTTTCTGTCTGTGTTTCACTTTGGATGGTTTCTATTATATACCTTTAAGTTCATTAATCTTTCCTTTTGTAGTGTCTGTCTAATCTCATCATCTCATCCAGTGAATTTTCTTTATCTCAGAAATGGTTTCATCTCTAAAAGTTAGAATTGGGACTTTTTAATGTTTTTCATATCTCTGCTTAACGTTATCATGTGGAATAGAGTGATAATAACTACAGTTCATCTGTGTCTAGGAATGCCCTCATCTGTGCCATTTGTGAATTAGTTTCAATTTGTTGATATTCCTCATTACATGATGTGTTTTCCTGCCTCTTTGCATACTTGGTGATTTTTTACTGTATGCTAGACATCATGTACTTTTCCTTGTTAGATCCTGGATAGTTTTGCACTCCTAAAATTATTTTAAAACTTTTCAGGGATGAAGTTACTTTACTTGGAAACAATTTGATATATTTGAGGCTTGATTTTAAGCTTTTTTGGGTGGGGCCTAAATTAGTCTAGGACTGATTATGCTCTACTACTGAGGTGATACCATGCTGAAAAAGCTTAATAAGGAGAAAGATCAATCAATAAATATTCACGTATATTCACAAAATATAATGAGGAGAAAAATCAATCAGTAAATATTCACGTAACCCTAAAAAAAGTTAAGAAATGAGAAACAAAGGGGGGAACTGGAGGGTATGTATAGAGAGCGAGGCATAAAATTACAGACCCAGACATAACCATGTCAATACTTATTTAAATATGAGTGGACCAAAGATTTCAGGTAAAACGCAGAGGTTGTCAGAATAGATATGAAAACAAGACCCACACACATGCTGTCTTCCAAAATTGCACTTGAAGAACAGAGACACAGGTAGCTTTAAATGACATTAAAGTTAAAGCATAAACACTGGAAAGGGAGAAGAAGAACTGCCTCTTTATGCAGATATCATGAATCATGTATGAGGAAGTATCTTAAGAAACTTACAAACAACTAGCATAGGCACTGAGAAAGCGTGGTCTACTCATCAACCACAAACAGGAATGAAGCCCTAACATGCCACAATATGGATGAACCTTGAAACTGAAAACATGATGAGTGAAAGAAGACGGACACAAAGGGCCGCATGTTATATGATTCCAGTTATACGAAATGGGCAGATCTAAAGAGGCAGAACGCAGGTTAGTGGTGACAGGAGCTGGGGGAAGGGAGGAACAGAGAGTGACACCTCGATTGATGTGGTGTCTCCTTTCGTGGTGATGCGAATGTCCTGGGGCCGACAACGTGGTGAACGCACTGGATGCCACTGAATTGTGCACTTCAAAATTGTGAAAATAGTGAATTTTATAATATGTGAATTTTACCACCATAAAAACCAAACTATTAGTACAAATAAAATTAGTTTAGCCAAGTTGCAGCATTTAACTTTCATAGAAAAATCGATTGTATGTCTTTGCTCATCAATATACTACCGTGCCACTTATGGTCCTTTTGAAGAAATGAGACAGCTGATGCTAAGATTTACATGGAAAGACAAAAGGGTTAAAATATCCAGAAACAACTTTGAAAAATAAGAACAAGGTTGTGGGGCCCACGCTACTTGATTTCAAAAATTACTATACAGGTATGGTAATCACGACAGTGTGGTTTTGGCATCAGGAAAGACACAGAGGCCAACTGAGCCGAAGGGGAAGTCAGAAAGACCCACATTTATGTAGTCCCTTGATTGCTGGTAAAGGTAAAAATTTAATTCTTTCAGAACTAGCTGTTTCAATAAATGGTGCCAGGATAAGTTGATATCTACATGGAAAAACAAAATAACCTTCAAGCCTTACCTCCCACCACATGCAAAATTATCTTGAGATGGATCATGGACTGAAAATTATTAGAACTTTTAAAGTTCTAGAAGAAAACATACAGAAGAATTTTTATGACTTGGGCTAGAATAAACATTTTTTAGAAACAAGATGTGAAAGCACAGATGATAAAAAATGATAAAACAAATTCAGCAAAATTGAAAAGGTTGCTCAAAATTAAACAGAGTTAAGGGAATGCAAAAGCAGACTACAAACTGGCAGAATAATTTTACAAAATCCACATCTGACAATGGGCTTGTACTCAGAATATATGAAGATATCTTATAAATCAATAATTTGAAAACTGCAGTTAAAAATTGAAAAGGACTTGGACAAATACATGACAAAAAAGATATATGACCCATAGGCACATGAAAAAATGATCAACGTCACTTGCCATCAGAGGAGTACACATTAAAAGCAGTCTAAAGTTAAAAAGATTGACAATACTAAGTGTTGACAAGGATATAGAACAATGGGAATTTACATACAATTTAAATTGGAATGCATGAAATTTGGTTGGAATTTTAAATGGAAATACTTTGGAAAATGGACTGACACTATCTAAGAGGTAAAACATTCACTTACCACATGACCCAGCAATTCCAATCCTAAATATTTACCCCAGGAAAATGAAAACATATGTCCACACAAAGATGTGGACACAAGTGCTCACACCAATGTTATTTGTAATACATCCAAACTGCAAACAGCCCAAATGCCCATCAACAGGCAAGTTGGTAACCTACGGTGCATGCATATTATGAGATACTACCCATTAATAAAAAATGAACAAAATATTAAGCCTACACGACATGGATAAGTCTTGAAATCATCAAGTTAAGTGGAAGAGATAGAGTACTGTTCCATGTCTATGAGCTTCCAGGAAAGGCAAAGTTACAGGGACAGGAATCAGATCACTGTCTGCCTGGGGCTGGGAGCTGGAGGAGGGAATCTAAAGGGGCAGGAGAACACTTTTTAGGAGAATGAAATGTTCCACATCTTGACTGTGGTAGATGTTACATGACTGTATACAACTGTCACATGAATGGGCTTTACTGTTTGTGAATGAAACCTAAACAAGCTAGCGAAAGAAACAGAAGGAGCATGGGCCGGCTGAAGCCGTGTCTGCAGGTGGGTGCTGGAGGCCCTGGAGCCGCGTGGCACAAGCCACAAACCTCAGGTGTCTCCCGTGGGTGGCTGGGGAAGATTAAGGCAACCCTCAAGAAGCCCACCAAGGCGCCACTGGGGGCTCCTGTCTTGGGGCTGTGTGGGGCCAGCCTGGGGAGGCGGGAGCCTCATAAGAGTCCCCTGAAAGCTACTTCATTTCCAAGTAGAGAAGGGGGTGGGGGTGGGGGGTGCAACACAGAAGGGTCTTGATGGAGAGGGTGTCTGCACAGCACAGTGATTACAGCCCAATCAGGGGTCAGACTTCCTTCGTGGACAGCCTGGTTCTCACCTGCATTCGCTGTGTGACCTTCAGAAAGTGACCTACCGTCTCTGTGCCTAGTCTGCTCTTTAGTAAAAGATGGCTAATGAAGTGGCTACCTTACTGGGCCCTTGAGAGAATGAGATGAGAGAATACAGGTACAGCACTGAGAGCAGCACTGGGATACAGTAGGTGTTCATAAATGGCACCTGCTATCATTATTAGTGATCTAGGAATAGGACCTTAGCTTAAACCCCACTGTGAGAAAAAGGGAAAAGCAAGGAGGAGAGGCTTGTCCAAGGCAGCAACCCCATCTTCCAGACACCAGGCCAAGAGTTCTGGAGCCCGAACACAGGCGTGGCAGAGAGCCTTTGCTGCCCTTCCCCTGCCCACGGGGCGGAGGGGAGATCTCGGGCCCCACAGCTCCTGAGCAGGGCTCGGGGGTCACCCTCAGTGCTGGCAGGGAGTGCGGAGTTGCTTTGACTCACTCAGGAGTAGGTTTGAGCCCTGGTTCCTTTCCTTATCACTCAGAGGCCGATGGCGCAGTAGCTGCCTGAGGAACACACAGCCTTTGCAAGTCTTTGGGAAACAGGAGAACTGTCTTCCTTTGTCCGAGAAGCACTCAAGCTGACGGACAGTGGTGCTGCTACTTGCTGCTATTTCTCTCCAAACTTTGGGACTGCGGCCACAGTGGCGGCCACAGCTGTTATTCCTTGTGTCTGCCAAGGGTCTGAGAGTGGCCTGGCGATTCAGCTGTTCCCTGCCCACAGCCCACCCTACGGGATGGGGCCAGTGATGTCGGATCCCTGGTGGTCCTGGTTCTGGCTATCGCTGGAGGGGACACAGACTCCACCTGCGTTGAGCGTGCCGCTCCCTGTGTTCTCCATCTCCATGTTCCTACCTCTTCCTGCTCTTTTCCCCGTGCTTTCAGCTACCTAAGGGTCGCCACTTACCGTCCCTGCAGAGTGCAGAGATTTCTCTTTGAAGAAAAGGTTCTGGAGCAATCAGAGGGGTGAGTGTGGATGCAGCCAGCCCCAGCCCTATGCTGCTCCTCAGACTAATGGTGCTGAAGGCTAAGAGAACGAATAAATGGTAGTGAGCGTTTTTCTCATTAGGGTTTTAAAATCCTCCAAGTAATAGATCATTTTGTAGCATCTTACATGTCCTGCTTACCCTAATAATGTGTTATTACTGAATCTCAATAATTTTAATGGGGAAATTCTTTATCTTAAAAAATGTGAAGTGGCTATCCATTTAAAAAGTGTTAACGAGGTAACTCCAAGGGTTTCAATGAACAAGGAGGCCCATAGCTGTAGTGACCCAGTGCCTTCGTGTTTTAGACACTAGCTGAGATCTGCACACTGGAGCCATGGCCGTGGAGGGAGCAGTGACCAGGACCTGCCTCCCGCAGTTGGGGGCCTTTGGTGCTCAGCCCAGGCTTCTGTGCTGGGATGCAGGGCCAGTCTGTTCACACAGACCAGGATAGGCCCTGGACGCGTGCACAGACAAACCCCCACAGGGGTTCATTTTATCTGGGGTGTGGCAGGGAATCATGAGCTGAACAGAGATGCTGGATGCCGAAAACAGCCTCTGTCCCTGCCTCTCTGCCAGCGCTTGCTGTTTGCCTGGAAACAATCCCTCTCCTTCCTTGGCTGCAGTTTTCTCACCCATGAAGACGTGTTCAATGCAGACGTACCGAGTTTCCTCTGGGTCTTCCTGGTTGCCTGGCGTCTCCAAGTGCTCATTTCTCTTCCTTGCTCTTGCCCACCCCACGGGCCCTTCCCCCGTGAGCGAGCTTCACAGACACACACAGACACTAGTGGTTCGGGGTCCTTAGTTGAGGCCATCTTAACTGGCTTCCCTCACCTCCCGAGTGGCAGGCTAGGAGGAAGCGGTGGTTTATTACAGGGACAGATCACACTGTGCCAGGGAATGCCAGGAAAATATATTCCCATTTTACTTCCTCTAATAATCTCCTATTTTCATCAGTGGGTGAGTGAACATGGCTTCTTCTTCCCAATGATGGTGCAAATGTATAATTTCTCCCAGTGAAATCTGATTTTAATGAGAGACTAAATCAGAGGAAAGAGTATTATTTAGATAGTATATGCACATGTCAGGTTAATTTAAAATCAGCTTTTAGGTCAATCTATCTTAATTATTCTATTAACCGTTTTTGACTAGCAATTCCAATAATTGTGTTTGCGTAATACTTGGCAGTGTAATTGCTTTTTGGATTCTCTTCATTGTTTTGTCAGAGTCTGTTCCTGGGCCTCTGTCCCTGGTGAGCTGTGCTTGGGTTGAGTGTGTGCTTGGGTTGAATGTGTGCACATTCGTGCAACTGCACATGTGCTTGGGTTGAGTGTGTGTGTACAAGTGTGCGTGTGTGCACATGCTTGGGTTGAGTGTGCAGATGGACGTGCATGTGCATGCATGCCTGGGTTGTGTGTGTGTGCACATGTATGTATCTGCTTATGTGCTCTAGTTGAGCATGCATGGGTGTCTATGTGCACATGTGCTTGGATGGAGTGCATGTGTACATGCACATATGTGCAGAAGTGCTTGCATAGTGTGTGTGCATGGGTATCATGTGCATGTGTGCTTGGGTTGAGTGTGTGTGCACATGTGTACATGGGTGCATGTGCTCAGGTTGAGTATGTGCATGTGCACACGTGTTTGGGTTGACTGCATGGGCATGGGCATGCAATGCATATGTGTTTGCATCATGTGTGTGCACAGAAGTGCATGTGCTTGCATTGTGTGTGCATGGGTATGCATGTGTGCACGTGCTTGTGTTGAGCATGTGTGCATGTGCTCAGGTTGGGTGTGTCATGGGTGTAAGGTGCACACGTGTTTGGGTTGACTGTGGGCACAGATGCACACATGCATGCATGCTTGGGTTGAGTGTGTGTGCACAGGTGTGCATGTGCACATGTGCTTGGGTTGAGTGTGTGCCTGGGTGTCATGTGCACGTGTGCTTGAGTGTGTGCATGGGTGTCATATGCACATGTGCTGGGGGAGGTGCTTCCCTGATTATTAATGAATGTATTTTCATGGGGTTTATTGATATCAAGGACCCCTGTCTTTATTTTTTATTTTTAAAATAAACTTCATTTTAGAACATTGTTAGATATAAAGAAAAATTGTGATGATAGCACAGAGTTCCTGTATACTCCACACCCAGGTTCCCCTACTCTTACCCTGTCACATTATACTGTACCTTTGTCACAGTGAATTAGCCCATGTCGATACAGTAGTAGGAACTAAAGTCCATACTTTATTCACATTCCCTCAGTTTTCCCTTAATATCCATTTTCTACCTCAGAATCCAAAGTATGATGTTACAGTTGGCCCTCATGTCTCCTTAGGGCCCTCGCAGCTGTGACAGATTCTCAGACTTTCCTTATTTTTAGTGATCCTGACAGTTTTGAGGAGGACTGGTTGGGTATTTTGTGGAATGTCCCTCATTTGGGACTTGTCTGATCTTTTTCCTGTGATTAGTTTGGGGTCACGGGTTGTGGGGAGGATGGAAAGTGACCTTCCCACAGCATCACACCAACGTCCTTGCTGTCTGCGTGACTTGTCACCGGTGATGTCAACCTCGGCGATGTGGCTGAGGCAGAGGTTTCCAGTTTTCTCCACTGTAAAGTTGCTCTTTTTCCCTTTTCATACTGTATTATTTGGAAGGAAGACACTCTGCAACGCTTATACCTTTAATTGTTTATTGATGCATAACATTTTACATATTTATGGGGTGCATGAGATATTTGGATACACGCATGCCATGTGTAATGATGGAATTGGGGTATTTAGGACGTTCATCACCTCGAACGTCTATCCTTTCTTCATGTTGGGAACATTTCAAATCTTTTCTTCTCGCTATTTCAAAATATACAGTATGTTGTTGTTAACTATAATCCCCTCACTGTGTTATCAACACTAGAACTCACCCCTCCTACCAAACCGTTTATTCGTACCCATTAACCACCTTCTCTTCATTCCCTCCACCCGCCCCCCACTATTTTTTAAACAGCTTTACTGGGTTATAATTCACATACCATGCAATTCACCCATTTAAAGTGTACAATGGTTTTCAGTATATTCACAGAGTTCTACAGCCATTACTACAGTCAATTTTAGAAAATTTTCACCACCTCAAAAAGAAACTCCACACCCTTTAGCTACTCTCAGCCACCAGCCCTGCCCCCACCCCCAGCCCTAAAGAACCACAAATCCTCTTTCTGTATCTATGGGTTCTGCACGTTTCTCAAAATGTAAACATATAGTGCGTGGTCTTTTGCGACTGGCTTCTTTCACTTCGCATAATGTTTTCAGGCTCATCCACCTTGTAGCCTGTGTCAGCACTTCATTTCTTTTTTCTTTTTCTTTTTTTTTTATAAGTACTTCATTCTTTTTCATGGCCAAATAACATCCTGTTGTACGGATACACCACATCTTCTGTAGCCATTCGCCAGTCACGTGTATCGGGGCTGTTTCCATTGTTTGGCTTTATGAGTGGTGCTGCTACAAACGTTTGTGTTCAAGTTTTTATTTGGATGTACTTTTTTGTTGTTTGTTTGTTTGTTTTGAGACAGTCTCGCTCTGTCGCCCAGGCTGGAATGCAGTGGTGCGATTTCGGCTCACTGCAACCCCTGCCTCCTGGGTTCAAGCGTTTCTTCTGCCTCAGCCTCCCGAGTAGCTGGGACTGCAGGCATGTGCCATCACGCCCAGATAATTTAGTATTTTTAGTAGAGATGGGGTTTCTTCATGTTGGTCAGGCTGGTCTCGAACTCCTGACCTCGTGATCTGCCTGCCTCGGCCTCCAAAAGTGCTGGGATTACAGGCATGAGCCCCTTAGCCTGGCTGGATGTATGGTTTTAATTATCTGGGACGCACACCTAGGGGGGGATTGCTGGGCCATGTGGTCACTCTATGTTGAACTCATTTTCAGCGCCTTTTCATTGTTTTTGTCTGCACTATTTTCTTTCCCAAAGAAGGTTCCTGTTTCTTAAGTCCTTGTCAAGACTATTTTCTGTCTTTTTGAGGATCACCCTCCTAGTGTATGAGGTAGCATCGCCCTGTGGTCTTGATTTGCTTCTTCCTAATAACTAATGATGTTGAGCATCTTTTCTTGCACTTACTGGCCATTCGTACATCTTCTTTTGAGAAGTGCCTATTCAAATCCTTTGCCCATTTTAAAATGGGGTTAATAACCCTTATTTTATTTGAGTTTTAAGTGTTCCTTACATATTCTGGATATGAGTCCCTTATCAGATACAGCAGGTCCCATTTACCTGGTGTCCTGGTTTCCACAGTTTCAGTTACCTGTGGTCAGCCATGGCTTGAAAATACGACATGGAACTGTGCATTGTTCTGAGTAGCACAGTGAGACCTTGCGCCAGCCCAAGCTATCCCTCCCAGCTGTGAACCATCCCTTTGTCCACTGTATCCACACTGTATAGACTGCTCCTTCCTTAGTCGTTACACTGTCTGCTCCTGACATCCAGCCATTGCTCATCATGGCTTGGTGATCCTCCTTCCGATCATTCATCGGAAGGTCAACAGCATCCTAAGACAATGTCACAATGCCTGCGTGATTCACCTCACCTCACCTCACCTCCTCCCGGAGGCAATTCCGTCATCTCACATGATGACAACAAAGAGGGGTGAGAACAGTACAATAAGGTATTTAGAGGGGTGAGTACAGTACATTAAGGTATTGAGAGAGAGAGCGATAGAGAGGTCACATTCACATAAGTCTTATTACGGCATATTTTTATCATTGTTCAATTTTATTATAGTTATCCTTGATAATCTCTTCCTGTGCCTAATTTATAAATTAAACTTTATCACAGGTATACATATATGGGAAAAAACAGTATATACAGTGTTTGGTAATCTCTGTGGTCTCAGCCATCTACTGGGGGCCTTGAGATGTATTGCCTGCAGATAAGAGGGGATTACTCTAGAAGATTTCCTAATATTTTCTCCTTTTATGTGGGTTATCTTTGCACTTTCTTAATGGCATTGGTTGTAGCACAGAAGTTTTTAATTTTAGTGAAGTGTCATTTATCTCTCTTTTCTTTTATCACTTGTGCTTTTGGTGCCATATTGAAGAAATCATTGCCAAACTCAGGCCATAAGGATTTCCTCCTATGTTTTCTTCTAAGAGTGGTTTTGTATGAATCCATTAATATGCTGTATTACATTGATTGGCTTTTGGATATCAAATCAACCTTGTGTTCCTGGGATAAATCTCATCTGGTTTTGCACATAATTCTTTTTATATGTTGCTGGATTTGATTTGCTAGTATTTTGTGGAGGATTTTTGCATTTATATTCTTAAGGATATTGGTCTGTGGTTTTCTTGTAATGCCTTTCATCTCAAAGTATTTTCTAATTTCCGTTGTGATTTCTTCTTTGATCTGTTGGTTATGTAACAGTGTGTTGTTTATTTTACACATTTTGGTGAATTTCTCAAATTTCCTTCTGTTATTGATTTCTAACTTAATTCCATTGTGGTTATGGAGCCCACTTTGTATGATTTCAGTCCTTTGAAATTTATTGAGACTTTCTCTGTGGCCCAACATGTGGTTCTTCCTGGAGCAAGCTCCAGCACACTTGAGAAGTGTGTGTGCTCTGCGGTTGCTGGGTGGAGTGCTCTGCGGATGTGGTTGCTGGGTGGAGTGTTCTGCAGATGCGGTTGCTGGGTGGAGTGCTCTGCGGTTGCTGGGTGGAGTGCTCTGCGGATGCGGTTGCTGGGTGGAGTGCTCTGCGGATGCGGTTGCTGGGTGGAGTGCTCTGCGGATGCGGTTGCTGGGTGGAGTGCTCTGCGGATGCGGTTGCTGGGTGGAGTGCTCTGCGGATGCGGTTGCTGGGTGGAGTGCTCTGCGGATGCGGTTGCTGGGTGGAGTGCTCTGCGGATGCGGTTGCTGGGTGGAGTGCTCTGCGGATGCGGTTGCTGGGTGGAGTGCTCTGCGGATGCGGTTGCTGGGTGGAGTGCTCTGCGGATGCGGTTGCTGGGTGGAGTGCTCTGCGGATGCGGTTGCTGGGTGGAGTGCTCTGCGGTTGCTGGGTGGAGTGCTCTGCGGTTGCTGGGTGGAGTGCTCTGCGGATGCGGTTGCTGGGTGGAGTGCTCTGCGGATGCGGTTGCTGGGTGGAGTGCTCTGCAGATGCGGTTGCTGGGTGGAGTGCTCTGCGGATGCGGTTGCTGGGTGGAGTGCTCTGCGGTTGCTGGGTGGAGTGCTCTGCAGATGCGGTTGCTGGATGGACTGCTCTGTGGTTGCTGGGTGGAGTGCTCTGCGGTTGCTGGGTGGAGTGCTCTGCAGATGCGGTTGCTGGGTGGAGTGCTCTGCGGTTGCTGGGTGGAGTGCTCTGCAGATGCGGTTGCTGGGTGGACTGCTCTGTGGTTGCTGGGTGGAGTGCTCTGCGGATGCAGTTGCTGGGTGGAGTGCTCTGCGGTTGCTGGGTGGAGTGCTCTGCGGATGCGGTTGCTGGGTGGAGTGCTCTGCGGTTGCGGGGTGGCGTGCTCTGTGGTTGCTGGTGGCGTGCTCTCATGCTCTGCAGATGCCGGCCAACTGATCCAATCTGACATTTCTTTGTTGATCTTTTGCCTACTTGTTCTACTCATAACGAAAGTGTGTTATTGAAGTCCCCAGTTTGTTGCTGAACTGTAGTCTTGCCTTTTTCCTCAGACTTAGAATCTGTGTCGAAACTTCTTGATGGGAAACATGTGATTGGCTCTCAGGTCTCAGCCTCTGCTCTCCCCATTACATGCCTGGAACATCCTGAGGGAGCTCAGAGCAGACAAGGCCCCGGCTTCACGCTTCAGATATGCTTCCATTACTCCCACCTTATAAATGAGGAACTGAAGGGCAGAGGGGTCCAGAGCACTGCTGAGGACAGCTGGCTGGCTCAGAGCTGGACTCGAACCTAAGGCAGCTCAGTCTCAAATTTATGCCCAGCGCCATGTTGGTGCATGCCCTCCTGGGGTAGCCAGAGAGTGTCATGATTACACCAGAGATGAAGTAGTCGGAATATGGACCCACTCCTAAGCTGCTGTGTGGGCTGCTGTGTGGGGAGTTCCAGAAGCGCACACACCAGTGGAAAAATTAAATGTGGATTTTTATGGTATCCCATCTGGCTTCTGCCACCTCCCAGGCGTGGATCTGCTCACAGCCAAGTGACCTCCCATCTGCAGGCTTCTCCCAACGCGGCTCAGTGGTGCCTCATCTGGACCACGAGTCCTCTCCACCCCAGGTGCCCTTCCACGGATGCCCTTGGACTCTCCTGCCTGGTCTTCCCACCGCTCACCCTGGCCTCTCTCCAAAATCCCCCATGGCTGCCTTTCTCTATCATCTGGCCTCAAAACCTCAGTCATTCATTCAAAGCCCTTTGTAATCCAGACCTGACTTGGGTCACAAATCAGCAAGTGTATCCATGACACCAGTGACCCTCAGGCCCCACTCTGTGGCTTTGGTGAGTGACAGATGACTGTTGAGTGACTAAGCAATGGTGCAATTGAAATTCCAGGGAATGAGACCCATTTGGAATTTCCTGAAGAAACAAACCCCCAGGCACAGGAAAGAGGCATCCGTGCATGTTTGGCTCCCTTTTGCCTTGAAATCCACGGAGCTCCGAGGCTCTTTCCGGCATGCTGGCTGTACACAGGGCCTTTCAAGGGCAAGGAGTCCTCAGCTTTCTGGGTCTCCTTAATGAGCCTGAGGCCTGCTGCCTGCAAGTGCGGCCCCTCTGTGCTTTTGCTGGCTGTTTGTGAAGTCAGCCCTGCCTTTAATAGGCCTGCTTGCAATTAACATGGAATATAATACTGAAGAAAATGCTGTAAAGCACTTGGCCTCTCAGGAGCATAACACTAAATGTTGATGCTCAAAGGCACTAAACAACGTGCATAATTAGGCAAATAACTCTCCCCTAGTTTCCAATGCAGAGAAAGGAGGGAAGTTAAGGAGGGTGTGTGTTCAAGCCTGTTGGATCAGTGATGCTAGGGAGAGGCCTGGAGCTGGCTTCCTAGGGCCCAGGGTCCCGTGAATGACTGGGGTGAAGCAGCCTTGCCATGTGCCTTTGGAACACCCTCAGGGAAGGGTCACAGGGAAAGGGCACACCTAGGTTCCTCAGGCAGGTGCAGCTTACAGCTTTCCAGGCTGATCTCTATCCCTGGTCAGAAGGGAATGGCAGACCCAGAGAGGAAACAGACCTGCCCAGGCCCGCGGAGATGGAAGAGACTCGATTCTCCTGCAGATGAGGCTTGAATCTGTTGGGTCCTTTGGGAAAGTAGGTCTGGAGAACTTCAGGGTGCAAACAGGACGCAACCATGCAGAGTTACAGTTTTTCTCATAACAGGGTGTTGGATTTTCTCAAGTCCTTTTTCTCTATCAATTGAGACAGTCGTGTAGTTTTTGTCCTTCATTATGACAGTGTGGCAGATTATCTTGATTGATGTTCATATTTTGAGCCATCCTTCCATTCCAGGAGTAAATCCCACTTGGTCAGGGAGTATAATCCTTTAATGTGCTACGGAATACAGTTTGCTAGTATTTTGTTGGGGATTTGGCATCAGCAGTTATCGGGGAAATCGGTCTGTAGTTTTCTTTTCCTGTAGCTTTCTTGTCTGGGCTTGGTATCAGGATAATGCTGGCCTTATACATTGAGGTTGGAAGTGTTCCTCTTGTTTAGCTTTTCAGAAGAATGTGAGGAGGATTGCTGTTAATTATTTAAATCCTTGGTAGAATTCTCCGGTAAAGCCATCTGGTCCTGGGCTTTTCTTTTTTGGGAGATTTTTGATGACTAATTCAATCTTTTACTAGTTATAGGTCTTTTCAGATAATTATTTGTTCATGATTCAATCTTGGTAGGTTGTATATTTCTAGGAATTTTTCAATTTCTTCCAGATTACCCAATTTGTTGGTATATAGCCATTGTTCATGACATTCTCTTACAATATTTTTTATTTATGTGGCATCAGTTGTAAGGGGCCTCTTTCATTTCTGATTTAATTGAGTCTTCCCTCTTTTTTTCTTAGCTAATCTAGCTAAGAGTTTCTGTTAATTTTGTTGATCTTTTCAAAAATCCAGCTCTTCAGTTTGTTGATTTTTCTATTGTTTTCTATTATTGTGTTTATCTCTGTTCTAATCATTACCATTTCCTTCTTTCTGCTAATTCATGTTTAACTTGTTCTTCTTTTTCTAGTTCCTTGAGATGTAAAGTTAGGTTGTTTATTTGAGATCCATCTTCTTTTTAAATGTAAGTTTTCACCTCTATGAATTTCCCTCTTAATACTGCTCTCATTGCATCCTATAAGTTTTGGTATGTTGCGTTTTTGTTTTCATTTGTCTTGAGATATTCTCTATTTTTCCCTGTGGTATCTTCCTTGATCCTTTGGTTTCTTAAGAGTCTGTTTTTAAATATTCACTAATTGTGAAGTTTCCCGTTTTCCTTCTGCTGTTGATTTCTAGTTTCATTCCTTTGTGATCAGAACATATATTTTCTATAATTTCAAACTCTTACATTTGTTAAGACTTGTTTCGTGGCCGATCATATGGTCTCTCTTGGAAGATATTCCACGTGCCCTTGGGAAGAATGTATTATATATTCTGCTGTTGTTGTGTAGAGTGTTCTATATACGTCCGTTAGGTCCAATTGGTCTATAGTGCTGTTCAAGTCCTTTGCTTCCTTACTGGTCTTCTATCTGTTTCTTCTATCCATTGTTGAAAGGCGAGTATTGAGGTCTCTTACCATTGTTGTGTTCCTGTTTATTTCTTGTAGACAGCATATAGTTGGATCTTCTTTTTTTTTTTCTTTTCATTTTTAATCAACTCAATCTGTCTTTTGATTAGGGAGTTTAATTAATTTACATTTGAAGAAATTACTGGTAAGGAAGACTTACTACTGCCAATTTGTTAATTGTTTACTGTATGTTTTATGGCTATTTTGTCTCCATTTTTCCTCCTTACTCCTTTCCTTTGTACTTTCAAAATTTTTTATAGGCCAGGTGTGGTGGCTCACACCTGTAATCCCAGCACTTTGGGAGGCTGAGGCAGGCAGATCACGAGGTCAGGAGTTTGAGACCAGCCTGACCAACATGGTGAAAACCCATCTCTACTAAAAATACAAAAATTAGCCGGGCATGGTGGTGCACACCTGTAATCCCAGCTACTCAGGAGGCTGAGGCAGGAGAATCACTTGAACCTGGGAAGCAGAGGTTGCAGTGAGCCGAGATTGCACCACTGCGCTCCAGCCTGGGTGACAGAGCAAGACTCTGTCTCAAAAAAAAAAAAAAATTATAGTGACATGCTTTGATTTCTTATTTCCTTTTGTATGTCTTCTATAAATATTTTCTTTATATTCACCTTGGGATTACATAAAATATCTTAAAGTTATAATGATCCATTTTAAACTGATAGCAGTTTAACCTCAATTGCACTCAAAAACTGTACTCTTTTACACCTTCACTCCCCTACACTTGGCTATTGACGTCGCAAATTATCTCTTTTATATTGTGTAACCATTAACAGAGTTCTATGATTATTTTTAAATGTTTTCATCTTTTAAATTCTATACAAGAATTAAAAGTGATTTATATACTAACATTATGATAGTACAGGATTCTACATTTGTCTATATATTTACCTTTTCTAGAGAGTTTCATATTTTCATGTAGTTTGGGATTGCTGTCTAGTGTCCTTTTATTTCAACTCGAAGAACTCCTTTTAGCATTTCTTGTAGGAAATATCTCGTGGTGTTGAATTCTCTCAGCTTTTGTTTATTTGGGATGATTTTTGAAGGATAATTTTGCTGGATATAGTGTTCTTGGCTGACTGTTTTTACTCTGATAGCACTTTGAATATATCATTCTACTCCCTTCTGGCCTACAAAGTTTCTGCTCAGAAACCCACTTATAATCTTATGGGAGCTCCCTTGCACTGATGAGTTGCTTTTCTCTTGCTGTTTTCAAGATTCTTATTTTGTCTTTGACTTCTGACAGTTTGATGATAATGGGTCTCTTTGGATTTATTCTAGTTGAATTTCTTGAACTCTTATGTCCATTCTTTTGCTCAAATTTGGGAAGTTTTCAGCCATGATTTCTTCAAATAGGCCTTCACCTCTTTCTCTCTCTATTCTGGAACTCCCATAATGTGTGCACAGGCATATCTTTTATTATTGTGCTTTGCTTTATTGCACTTCACAGACATTGTGGGTTTTTTTGTTTGTTTGTTTTTTTGAGATGAGGTCTTGCTCTGTCTCCCAGGCTGGCGTGCAGTGGCATGATCTTGGCTCACTGTAACCTCCACCTACCAGGCTCCGGAAATCCTCCCACCTCAGCCTCCCAAGTAGCTGGGACTGCAGGTGTGCACCACCACGCTTGGCTGATTTTTTTTTATTTTTTGTAGAGACAGTGTTTTGCCATGTTGCCCAGGCCGGTCTCAAACTCCCGGACTCACACAATCTGCCTGCCTCGGCCTCCCAAAGTGCTGGGATTACAGGCATGAGCCACCGTGCACAACTGACATTGTGTTTTTGTTTTGCAAATGGAAAGTCTGCGGCAACTCTGCATCCAGCAAGTCCACCAGTGCCATTTTTCCAACAGCATGTGCTCACTTCTTGTCTCTGTGTCACATTTTAGTACAATTTATAATAATAATTTTAATTTTCTTTATTGTTATATATGTTATAGTGACCTGTGATTGGTGATCTTTAATGTTACTATTACAATTGTTTTGGAGTGCCATGCGCCTTGCCCATACCATATCAGATGGTGAACTGAATCGATAAATGTTATGTATGTTCTGACTGCTCCACCAGCTGGCCATTCCTTCACCTTTCTCCCTCTCCTTGAGCCTCCCTATTACCTGAGACACAATAATATTGAAATTAGGTTAATAGCCCTACAATGACCTAAGTGTTCAAGTGAAAGCAAGAGTCACACATCTCTCACTTTAGGTCAAAAGCTGGAAGTGACGTTAGTGAGCTTAGTGAGGAAGGTGTGTCAATAACCAAGATAGGCTGAAAGCTAGGCCTCTTGCTCCAAGTAGTTAGCCATGTTATAAATGCAAAGGAAAAGTTATTTAAGAAAATTAAAAGTGCTCTTCTAGTGGACACATAAATAAGAAAGTAAAACAGCCTTGTTGCTGATACGAAGATAGTTGTAGTGGTCTGTGTAGAAGATCTAATCAACCACAATATTCCATTAAGCCAAAGCCCAATCCAGAGCAAGGTCTTAACGCTCTTCAATTCTGTGAAGGCTGAGAGAGGTAAGGAAACCACAGGAGAAAAGTTTGAAGTTAGCTGTTCATGATGCTTAAGAAAAGAAGCCATTTCCATAACATAAAAGCACAAGGTGAAGCAGCAAATGCTAATGTAGAGGCTTCAGCAAGTTCTCCGGAAGATCTAGCTGAGCTGCTTGATGAAGGCGGCTACACTAAACAACAGATTTGCAATGTAGATGAAACAGCATTCTATTGAAATAAGATGCCATCTCGAACTTTTAGAGCTGAAGAGGAGACGTTAATACCTGGCATCAATTCTGCAAAGGACAGACTGACTGTCTTGTTAATTACTAACGCAGTTGGTGATTTTAAGTCGAAGCCAATGCTTATTTACCATATTGAACATTCTAAGGCCCTTAAGAATTATGCCGCATCTACTCTGTTTGCACTCTATAAATGGCACATAAAGCTTTGATGACAGCACATTTGTTATAGCACGGTTTACTGAATATTTTAAGCCCCCTGTTGAGAACTATGCACAGGAAAAAAATGTCTTTCAAAATATTACTGGTTATTTATAATGCAGCTGGTCACCCAAGAGCTCTGATGAAGATGTACTAAATTAATATTGTTTTCATGCCTGCTAACACAATATCCATTTGCAGCCCATAGATCAAGGAGTAATTTTGACTTTCATCTTATTATTTAAGAAGTACATTTCTGGCTGGGCACAGTGGCTCACGCCTGTAATCCCAGCACTTTGGGAGGCCGAGGCGGGTGGATCACGAGGTCAGGAGATCGAGACCATCCTGGCTCACACGGTGAAACCCCGTCTCTACTAAAAATACAAAATATTAGCCGGGCGTGATGGCGGGCGCCTGTAGTCCCAGCTACTCGGGAGGCTGAGGCAGGAGAATGGCGTGAACCCAGGAGGCAGAGCTTGCAGTGAGTGGAGATTGCTCCACTGCACTCCAGCCTGGGTGACAGAGCAAGACTCCGTCTCAAAAAAAAAGAAAGAAATACATTTCTTAAGGCTATAGCTGCCGTAGATAGTGATTGCTCTGCTGGATCCGAACAAAGCGAATGGAATGCCTTCTGGAAGTAGTTCACCACTCTACATGCCATTAAGAACGTTCCTGTTTCATGGGAGGAGGCAAAATATCAACATGAACAGGAGTCTGCAGGGATTTAATCCCAGCCCTCACAGGTGACTCTGAGTGGTTCAAGACTTTAATGGAGGCAGGAACTGCAGATGGTGGAAACGGTGAGACAACTGGAATGAGAAGAGGAGCCTGACGATGTGGCTGAATTGCTGCAATCTCAGGGTAAAACTTTAATGAATGAGGAGTTTCTCCTTACGAATGAGCAAAGAAAGTTGTTTTTTGAGATGGAATCTACTCCTGGTAGAGACAAACATTCTTGAAGTGACAACAAGGTATTCAGAATATTACATAAAGCAGCAGCAGGGTTTGAGAGGACTGGCTCCAAATTTGAAAGAGGTTCTACTGTGAGTAAAATGCTGTGAAACGACATTACATACCGCAGATAAGTCTTTTGTGAAGGAAAGAGTCCATTGAAGAGCAAAATTCATTGTTGTCTTAAGAAATTGTCACGGTTACCCCAGTCTTCAGCAACTGCCACGCTGATCAGTTAGCAGACATCAACACTGAGGTAAGAGCCCCCATCATGAAAAAATTATGACTTGTTGAAGGCTTAGATGATCATTAGCATTTTTAGCCAAAGAAAGTATTTTCATTAAGGTATATACTTTTTTATACATAATGCTATTGCACAATTAACAGGCTACAGTATAGTATAATCATTACTTTTATATGCGCCGGGAAACCAAAATATTTTGTGACTCACCTTGCTGTGGTATTCACATTATGGCAGTGGCCTGGGATCAAACCCACAGCGTCTCTGGGGTAAAAAACCTCCATTGTTCTGCCTGATGTTTTCCCGTAAGTCTCACAGGCTCTCATTACTTTCTTTATGCTTTTTTTCCCTCCTCTCACTCAATAATTTCAGATAATTTTTCTTCAAATTTGATGGTTCTTTCTCCATGATCAAGTCTGCTGTTGAACTCCTCTATTGATCTTAAAATTCAGTTATTCTTCAGTTTCCGAATTTCTGTTTTGTTCAGTTTTTATAATTTCTATCTCTGTTGTTATCTCATTTTGTTCATAAGTCGTATTCTGAATTCGTTCAGTTGTCTCTGTTCTTGTTTAGCTCACTGGGCATCTTTAAGAAGGTTACCTTGAATGATCAGTTAATTCATCTCTGTGTCTTTACGGTCATTTCCTGAGATATATTTTGTTCCTTTGACTGGGCCTTGGTTTCCTGTTTCTTTGTATGCCTTGTGACCTTGTATTGATATTTGGGCATTTCAAATACATTGTGCTTCCCGCAGTCTTTGTTAACTTGCTTTGTACTTTCACTAATCAGCCCAGGTAGAGATTCTGGAACTTCTCAGCCTTTTCTGGGGATGCATCTTCTTTGGGCTTGTGTAAGTAGTTTCCCAGTTAGAGTTTTGCCCATGTTTTTCAGGAGGCCTCTGTCCTCTGGTGTCTGTGGCTCCGCAGGATCCTTTGTGCTGAGCGAAGATGCTCGTCTTTGCTCTCAGCAGCCCCTTACCTGACATTCAAGCTCTGCAAGTTTCCCTCAGTGCTCTGAGTCAGGTGAGGCAGATACCAGTCCCATGGGCAGCCCCCTGAAAAGCGAGAACATTGGATGCATGTTCCACTCTTCACTCTCCCTCTCTAGAGAGCAGCCAAGCATTGAGGGCATTGAGGGCTCCTATCATGCCAGGGAGCAGTAGGCACCAGGGCACAAAATGCTGTGACTTTTTTTCTTATCTGCTCAGATGTGGCCCTTCTGGGCTTTGCACTCACAGGGGGTGCTGCAACCTCCTAATCGGATTCTGGGGTTCTCACACTGGCTGTTCTGTCCATAGATTATTGCTAACCAGTGTCTCGGTGGGGGAACGAGGACTCCCTGGGGCTTCCTAGTTCTCCATCTTGCTGGTGTCCCTGTATTTAATTTGTTCTTAGATTATCTATGTTGATTTATAAATTCTAGCTCATTCATTTTAATATTCCATTTAATTAGACCGTATACCATGATTTAGGCGTCTATTCTGTGGAGGAATCCACATTCATAATGACAGGTTTTCATGTTTGCTGCATTCTGGGTGTGAGATCGTAACATTCACATAACAAGGCGAAGGAATCTCCAGGTCACACTGAGTGAAGGACACACCAAGATGGGTCCTAGGCAGCTGGATTTCCTACTTTTAAGTGGCTGAGCTGTCAGAAACCTAGGGCCTAGCAGCGGTGTTCCTCCAGGAAAGTGGGAGGAGAAATAGCCGCTGGACTAGGTGAGAACCGCGTCACGTTTGAGAAGCGCTGATGGCTTCCTGCAGGACGGGAACGGACTGTGTTCCTTTAGCTCGCACGGCTCCTCTCCTGAGTGTGAATTTCGGTGCCTGTTGCTCCTTTACTATAAATCAACCTTGTGTTTTAAGGCAGCCGTCCCCAACCATTTTGGTACCAGTTTCATGGGAGACAATTTTCCCACGTACTGTGGGATGAGGGTGGGGTTGGGGGGATGGTTTTGGGATGAAACTGTTCCACCTCGTATGCTCAGGCATTAGTTAGATTCTCATAAGGAGCACGCAACCTGGATCCCTCTCACACGCACAGCTCACGACAGGGTTCATGCTCCTATGAGATCGAATGCCGCCGCTGATCCGACGGGAGGCTGTGCGGCCCAGTTCCTGACAGGCCACGGACCAGTACCTGTCCACACTTGGGGTTGGGCACCCCTGTTTAAAGGTACCTTGTTAATCTGCCCAGTCTAGTCCCAGAGAACGCCAAAGGCATGTGTTCATGCCAAATTGTGTGTGTTCATACCTGGAGACGTGCCGTGGACACCCCATCCCTGGAGGCAGGGATCAGAATCCTCTGATCTACGGGATGCTTCCAGCAGTCTGAGGGGCGCAGAGCTGGCAGTGTTGCGTTCGTGAGGAGCCAGGCCAGCACTGGCCCAGAGCAGCGATGTTCCTGCCAGTTCCCAGGGAATGAGAAGGAGTGAGGGCACAGGATCCTGACCACCCCCGCCGTGCCTGGTGTGGGTGGCCCTTCAGGAGGCAGCCCGCTCTGCAGGGTGCTCGTACCCTGCTGTCCTAGGCATGTCCTGCCCTCAGAGTCCCAGGTTACTGGATGATAAAATCTGTAGTTACTGCATATATTTTCTTGCAGTTCTAACGTACCCTTTCCTTCTTACTATCAGATTTTAAATGTAAAAATTAATTCAAGTGAAGACAGTACCTCTGTTTTCTCATCGAGTTCCAAGAAATGAACCGAGGTGGATTTTCCTGTTCTCCCCGGAAGACCAAGAACCTTACGAGGGCCCTGGCTTTCTTCCCTTCTCTTTTCTTTCTTTCTCTTTTATTTTCTTATTTTTGTGCTTTTCTTTCAAGCCCAGTTTCATGATTTAAGACCTCAGTGCTTTCAGGTTCCAAAAATCTGGGCTGGTTCCTTGCTGAACCAACAGGGGTGTCCAGCCAGGTTCCTTCTCTTGGGGCCCACATAATCCCATTGTATGGTCCTGGCAGGTGGCCAGACACTTTTCCTGCCCTGGGGTCTGCTAGTGAGAGGATCCTCAATACAATTAATTCCCTAATCTCTTCATTCCAGCACTTTCCGTCTACGTTATTGAAAGATGGGCATTCAAGATGCTCGTTTTTAATGACTTGCTATTTTCACCCACTTGGTCACAGCTCTGTTGGGTTTTATTGTCAGCGGGTAAAACACCTGCCTCTGGGCTGTGCAGATAAACTATAGAAAACTGCGTGCTCCCCCTCCCTCATCCAGCAATGAGCCCAGGCAGGCAGGGGAATTAACATGCACAACTTAATTGGATTTTCATCGTGTCCTGCTGGCTGACAGAGGAGCTCCCCTCTCTTCATGATTGCATTCAAATGCCAGGTTTAATTCTAAGACTGCAGCTTGGAAGGTGAAAGGCATTTCGCAGTAAACAGTTCATTAAGAGACACTTCCAGCCTCTCCGCCTCCTCTGAGTGTGGAGAGGGGCTTTCTGTGGAAGGGGGTTTTGATTTAATTGAGAACTCAGTGAATGCCTGGGACCGTGCTGTGGGCCCAGGACCGTTGCCACAGACGTACCGTTGCTCCCAGGACCATTGCCACAGACGCACTGTTGCTCTGCCCCATTTGCACTGGGGTTTCCGAGTGCAGCCAGTTCAGATGCCCAGGACCCAGGAACCCTCCCCAGTGACTCACTCCACGGCCACCCTGGGCCGCCACCCTGCACACCGGGTGCTGTTGCCCCACTGAGAGAGGTGGGATCAGAGGCTGGGAGATTCATGAACATGACTAGGGTCACCTGGCCGAAGTGGTGGAGCTGCACTCCGCTCTGAGGGTGGCTGATGGCCAGGGCCCTTCTGAATGAATGAATGAACTAGTAGCCACAAATGGGGACTCTCCTGCCTGAAGTGATGGTTGGGGTGAGCCCAGGGCTGGAGGTGGGGCGTGCCTGGGAGGACAGAAGAGTTAGGAGCAGGGAAGGTGGGAGCCACAGTCCCTGATGTGCATCCGAACCTGCAGGGTCCTGGCAGAGAATGGGGTGAGGCAGGCACCACATCTGCACGAGACAGGAGCCACCTGCCGACGTTCTGTCCCCAGACCTGGTGCCCCTGCTCCTGACCCTACAACTGAGGTTTTGGACCCAAAGCCTCAGAACTGAACTCCAGCTTAGGATACGGAATCTGCCTCCAAAAGGAAAAGAGCACAGCTCTGGGAGCACACACCCCCATCCCCTCTGCAGACTCCACAGGCTGAGGCCGCCCTCCCGCCATCTGCACTCCAGTGCCCACCCTCACCTGCTGTTCTCCACACAAAATGTGAGGGCAGGTCTCCCTATGCTCAGGGGGTTGGGCCTCATAGGGCCTGGAGAAGCACATCTTTATCCTCACAGCACCAAGTCAGCCCATCACACAACCACAGACACACAGACACATACACACACACACACAGGCACACACATACAGACATGCAGACACTCATACACATGCACAAACCTATACCTGCTCATGTACCACACACACCCAGAGACACATACACTCATGTACACACAGGCACCTACATACAGACATGTAGACACGTACTTATACACAGACACATACACACACATGCAGAGACACACGTGCACACATACATGCATGTATGTGCACATATAGACACGGACATGCACAGGTACAGCTACATATGCATATGAAGGCATGTGCACATGTACATGCAGAAACACACGCACACACATACAGACATGCATGTGCACACACATACACATATGAACACACGTGCACATGCACACGGGCACACATGTATAGAGATGCATGTGCACACAGAGATGCATATAGACATACAGGCACACATACAGAGACACACATGCACACACAGCTATACAGATATACACAGGCACACATGCACACACACGTAGACACACGTGTGCACATGCAGACACAGAAAGACACATACACATGCTTGAATGTCCACACAGACACACATATGGAGACACATACAGTCACACCCATAGCGAAGCACACACGTGCACACCCACTTCAGTTTGGTGCCCGCATTTCCTGCCCTGCCCTTTTCTCTGAAAGGAGAACAGAAAATCCCAAAGCCTGGTACTGACAGCATTTAGCTAATTGTGCAAACTGCACCCTCACCTGGAGCAAAGACTTCTCTGAGTTTTATCCTCAGATTAGAATGGATTAAAGTTGTTCCATGCTGAATTCATCCTGGAGTTTCACAACTCCTGGGGCAGGCAGCTGGGCTGGGCCTCACTCGTCCTTCCTTGGGGCCCTGCTGCCCTGTTCTCCTGTGGAGTTTCCCTTCCCGCAAGAACAGAGCAATCACTGGGTGTGGGAAAATGATTTTCCATATGGAAAAAGAAATAAGATCCCTGTTTCCCAACATACACAAAGCCCCACATGGGGCAAGAACTTATGTAAGAGTTTTCCTTTAAAAGTTTGTCTGGAAAATGTAGGTGGACAATTTATGACCTTGGCTGTAGGGAAGGATTTCTTAAATACATTGTAAGAAGCCCTGGCTATAAAATAGGAGTCTGATAAAATGTGAGTACATTTAAAAAACTATTGGTCAAAAATAACCTCAAAGAAAATGAAAGAGAAGCTAAAAATGAGAGGATACTCACCGGGGACATAACTAACGAAGGGTAGGCCTCAGGAATGTGTAAGGAATTTCTATAAATCAGTAAGAATGAGAAAAAGACCCCGAGACATGAAGGGGCATCTCCCTCAGGAGAAGCAGATGTGAAGCAGTGTTTGCAGACTTGGACATGTGGAGATCAAGACCCAGTGAAATGCCATCTGGCTCACTTGTTGGCCAGCACTGGCCGGGGGTGAGAGGCCTGCGTGGCCGCCCAGCCTCACAGGCCTTTCCCAGTGCTCTTGGGCCTTGGGCACAAAGGGTTTTGGAGGCCTCCTGTCCTGTGAGAAAAGGGCTGCCCAGGGCCAGTCAGCAGGCTGTGTGCAGGCCCAGAGAGACCCTGCCTGGGACCCTGCCTGCTTGTGGGCTCCTTCTCTGTCCTCAGCTACCCTTCCTGGGCAGTGGCCCAGCTGGAGACCAGCAGGTGGGTGAGTCACAGCTGTGGGTCTGAGCTGTGGGCGCCTGTGCTCCCCAACTGTGGGGGCAGAGAGGGCATGAGGAAGTGGTTCTGTGAGTCAGAGACCCCTGGGGGACGTGTTTTCCAGAACACTGACCTCCCCATGGCCCTGACAGAAGTGGGGCTGTGGCTTCTGTCCTGTGAGCCTTAGACACATGCAGACAGACACATAGAAACACATGGACATGCACACAGAAGCACATGTACATATGCATAGAGACACACACTGACATGGAGACACATATGTAGACACGCATATACACATGCAGACAGACACACAGGGACATAGACACACACAGACACACGGACACACACATATCTACACCCAGATGTACATGTGCAGACACGCTCACACCTACAGACACACGTGGACATAGACACACATGGCCTTGGGGAGGGCGTGAGACGAGTGCTACTGGCTGCTCACCCGCAGCTCCCTCCCTACCACACAGAGATGCTGTCAGATCAGGGCCACCTTGGGCCCTGCAGGCTCACAGAGCAGTGGAAAGGGAGGGGTCCCTGATGGGGTCTTCCTAGGAGAGGAGCCTGCTGGGTTGGGTTTGCTTCTGAACCCTAAAACCCAATATGGGGACCCTCCATGACTCCACGTAAGAATTAGGAGAAGCAGGTGAGACACAGGGCCCAAGAGAGTTTGCAAAACCTGGGAACGGTGAGAAGCTGGAGCTGAGGCCATGACCTGGGCTCGGCAGCAGGAGGGGGAGCGGCCTTCGGGGAGGGCAGGGCTGCAGCCGCGGAGGTGGGGGCCACACCCAGGCTGGGTTTTCTCTTTACGGCCATGGCGCCAGAGGGATTTGGGGATTGAGATTTGCCTGGTGCCTGATGGAGAGTGGATGGGAGAGGGTGCCTGGAGGCCATGAGGCCGGCCCGGACCCTGGCGTTTCCAATGCTGAGCTGGTCCGCCCTTGAGGCCAGGGAATGCTGTGGTAGGAGGTTGATGGCCCTGGAGATGTCCACATCAGAATCCTTGGGATCTGTGCAGATGTGGATAAATTAAGGGCTTGGGGATGGGGAGAGCATCCTGCAGTATTGAGTGAGGCCGGGGCAATGACATGTCCCGAGAGGGATCTGACGGCAGGGGGAGCCCACGTGACTAGGAAGGCAGCCGCTGGAGGGTCCAGGAACACTGGCTGAACGTGGGGGCCTCTAGGAGTGGAACAGGGGACGCTGCTGGAGCCTCCAGGAGGCCAGGCCTGGCTGATACCTTGGTTTTAGCCCAGTGAGGCCTGTTCCAGACCGCTCACCTCCAGAGCTGGGAGAGGGCGAAGGCATTGTTTTGAGCAAAGCCCGTTATAATGGCAGCAGGGGACTGATGGGAAGCTTCGTGACTTGGATGGGCAGTGACTTCTGGAGGGAGCTGTTGTCTACCCTCTGCCCCCGTTAGACACCTGCGGTACCCTCTCCCCCACCAGCGACAGGCGGGCTCAGATGCTGGGGTCTGTGTGCCCCAGGCACGGGCCACACATCCTGTTCTGGGTGTCAGTGCCGTCCATGGCCACCACTCCATCAGCACGAAAGCAACTAGGAGCTGAGTCTCCATCCGACTGGGGCCTGTGTTCCCTGACATCTTCCACACCCCAGGCAGACACGGCCCAGACAGCCACCTGCATCCTCTGTCACCTTCTCTCCCCACCATTGGTGGCCTGATGGCCCTGGGGCAGGTGGGTCACCTGGTGGGTGGCTGAGCACTCCCTCGAGGTCCCAAGGCCGATGCTGCACTGAGCCTGCAGCTCTTGCCATGGGCACTGGTGGGTCCCAAGTAACAGAGCAGAATCCCCAGGCAGCACATGGCTCTGGGCACTGGGGAAAAGGAAGGACCTGAGTGGTCACGCTGAGGAATCATCACTGTCCTCAGCAGAGCAGCGGAGGGACCTTTTGAAGTGCCCGCTGGCTGGAGCATCCCCAGTGGGGCCCCATCAGGATGCAGCCTAGAGGAAGCATCTCCCAGCACCCGTGTTGTGGGGGACCCTGTTCTTCCTCAGGTCCTGCTCAAAACTCTGCTCCAGGCACACCCCATTCAAACCCCCTGATAGAAATTTGTCTGGGCCTTGGCTGGAAATCTGCCAGCAATGGCAGAGGGGAGGGATCACAGCTTTAAGCTAAAAGGGACACCACGGGTGGAGCTCGGGGCCTCTGTGGGCCCAGATGCAGGGCCTGGGCAGTGGTCAGCCTTGCTCAGATATCCTGCACAGATCAAGTAGAAAGTTCTCAGCTGGACAAAAGACTCAGAAAGAAACATGTGGGGCAAACTCCTGGCCACCTGCCCATTGCTCCAACAGGCTGCATGGGGGCTGACCAGATGAACGGGCACCTGGCCTTCCCCTAATGAGCACAAGCTGCTCCCACAGGAAAACAAAAGTGTAATTCAGAGGGGGCCCTGGGGACCCACAAAGCCCTGCGGCCCGTGTGTGCTGATGGAGTTCATTTTCTGCATATTTGAGGGAGATAAAGCAATCATTGTGTGCGCCTCTTTACCCCCCAAGACCTCACTGATCCTTGGAGCTTTCTACCCGAAGAGTCTAATTACTGGGTCCAGGGTGACATAGGGGAGCCCCGTGGAACCAGGACCATCTGCTCAGGTCTCTCTGCTGCCCTGTGGCTCTGAGGGTCCTGCAGGAGGGAACCGCTGTGACCAGGACAGAGCGGGTCTTCCTGACACTGCGATACTGGCTTGAAGGAAGTGATGAAGAGCACACGTCCCTGGGTGGCCCTAAGCCAGGCTCAGCACTGGGGCCGATGGTCCTATCTAAGCCAAGCAGGCCCCAGAGCTTTCCCTGGTGCCCACAGCTCCATGGTCCAGGGTCTGAGATAGGAGGCTCAGATCTGGGTTGCTGATAAACTAGGCATCTAGTCCAGGGGCTGCTGGAGGCAGGAGGAGCCAAGACCTTCTCCTTGAGCTAAGATGAACTTAGGAGGCCAGGAACAAGGTCAGGAGGGCAGGGAGGAGCTCAGAAGGCCGAGGACAGGCTTGGGAGGCTGAGGACTCGCTCAGGAGGCTGAGGACCCGCTCAGGAGGCTGAAGAAGAGCTCAGGAGATTGAGGATGGGCTCAGGGCCTGGGGACAGGCTCTGGATGCTGGGGAGGAGCTCAGGAAGCCGGGGACAGGCTCAGGGGGCTGAGGAGGAGCTCAGGAGGCTGGGGAGGAGCTCAGGAGGATGAGGATGGGCTCAGGGGGCTGAGGACGAGCTCAGGAGGCTGAGAATGAGTTCAGGAGGCCAAGGCCGAGGTCAGGCGGTGGGGATGGGCTCAGGAAGCTGGTAACACTCTAATCCAAAAGCCCTTGGGCTGAGCAGAGCCCACCACTGGACCAGGGCCCGTGGCCGTGGGGGTCCCCAGGGAAGTTGCAGAGGGTGGTCTGAGCTCAAGGTAGTAGGAGTGGGGGTACCCCCCAGCTTCCCCCACACCCACCCCCATTTCCCTGCACACTGTGGCGTTGTCATGGAGGCGCTCTGCTCAGAGCCAAGCGGACCACACCCCACCATTCAGGCCCAGACACCCAGAGCCACCAGCACTTTCCACCGGGACAGGGCCTTCTGAGACAACTTTCCAGGACAGGCAAGGTGGGGACACCTCTGAGCCCCTTCCAGGAGCATATGATGAAGGAAAGGAAAGAGCAGAAATAATAATACTAGAAGTGGCCAGCAGCAACGGTGTGTCAGACACAGTGCCCAGCTCCCGGCAGAGTGGCTGGACACCGCACCATCTCCAGGCTGTGATCCAAGTTTCCCTCCCAGCCTAACTGTACCGGCTCCCTTTCAAGTGGTCGGCTGGCTGCCTCTTGTCAGCAGGCAGCAAGGAGGAAAAGAATGCCTTTCTGCTTCTCATTGGTAAAACCTTCCGCCCAGATAAGATGAGAGACAAAGATTTGGGAGAAAACCTGCTGCGAGCAAGGCCTGCCCTGAAAGGTGGAGTGCCCTGCACCTGGGCTGTGTCTCCCAGCCGGCCGTGCGGTCCACCGAGGCAGGGGCACATGTGCTCGAGACACGGCCCATGGTGAGGACCTGCACACAGACACCATTCACTCACGCACACACTCACGGAGGACACACCCACCCATATTGACACACTCACACACTGACACAGGTACACATTCACACACTCATGGACACACACACACACAGGCACACACAGACATGCATTCACACCACACACCTACACAGAAGCACTCACACACTCATGGACACTTACATCAGTACAAACACAGACATATTTGCACACGCACACAGACACACTCTCCTATACACCCACGGGGCACACATTCACACTCGCACACACACATCCACACTCACCTACACACCCACACACATTCACACACTCACACTCATGGGCACACACACCCACACAGACACAGAAACTCATGGACACACACACCAATGCAAACACAGATATTTTCACACACAGGTGTACATACACACTCAGCTACGCACCCACACAGGTGGATATGTGTGTATAGGAAAAGACACTCTCCAGGGTCGGGCACTCCCCGGTTTCAGGCATCTGCTGGGGTCCTGGAAGGCCCCCATGGGTGAGGGGCCACAGCGCACGCAGCCCCCAGCTCCTGGCTCTCACCCATTAGAAAGGACACCTGCCGCCCTGGGCATGAGCAGGACTGTGGGAGATTTGGGGTGGGGGCTTCACCGACGAACTGTGGGATTCTCCTCATCTGAGGCTGCTCCTGAGCCCACACGGATTTAGCATTTCACGTGCTGCTCACTAAACTGAGTGAACGAGTGGCAAATCAGCCACTGTGCGAGCCGCCTCTGTGGGAACCCAGGGCCGGGCTCTGCTCTGCAGACCTCTCCCCTGCCCAGGCCTTGGCTCCAGTGGGCACTTGTCCTGCCAGTGGCCATGGCCCTGGCAGGCTCCTCTGTTTTCCTGTCCATGAGCCCCTGCAAGAGGCCTTCTCTGTTCCAGTCCCTCGGCATCCCGCTCTCCTGGCTTCTCTGGGTGAGGAGTGAGGAAGGGTCACAGAGGGTCCTGCCTGCCCGTCAGTACCTCAGGGCCTGCTTGGAGGTGTGTGGGGCCCTTGTCCTCGTCCTTGGGTCTGTGACTCCAGATCTGAGGCCTGTTGGCCGGCCCTGCACCAGAGCTGCCTGCCTCGCTCCTGTGAGGAGGGACCCAGCGGCCCCCAGACAGGGGCAGAGGACAAGGTCGTCCTAATGCTGGGAGACGAAAGCCCCTTGGCGCTGTCCTGCGCCCGCAAGCCCTGCCACCCCAGTTTCCCTCTCGCTCTGCAGACGATGCCCTTGGCCTCATGCCCCAGTGCGTGTGGTGGAAGAGACGCACAGCGCAGCCTTGGGAGCCTGCCGGAGGCCCCCTGAAGGCTCAGCCTGCTGCTCTGACCCCCACACCAGCTGGAGTCCAAGTTTCCAGGAAGACTTCATCTCCCTTGCCCCTCGTCTGGTTCTCGGAGAGCTGGATGGGGCTTTCGCTCAGCAGCACGGGCACAGCTCCACTTCCAAAATGTGAGGGGCAGGGGCCCAGGTGTTGGATGCCTTCAGAGCCCTGGAGCCCCGGGAGGGGCTCTCAAGCCCACCTGCCTGAGTCGGGCATCAGGCAGGGAGAGTGCTGGGGCCTCCGCCCCTGCTGGCCCAGTGATGAAAACCAAGCATGAAGGGTGGGTGTTCATTGGTTACTTGCTGTGTGTGGCCTCTAAACATGCACCATTCCCTTTAATTTTCACAGGCTTCATGGGATGGTATTAGTGTTGCCACCGGACAGGCTGGCCCTGTGGAAGGAACATGGGCGTGGGCAGTTCCTGGCCTCTGGTCTTGACTCCTGACTCGGTTCCACCCCCTTGGGATGCTTGGCCCAATTCGTGGCTCAGAGCCCGGCTCTATCTATTTAATGGGAGCTGCACTTGAGGAGGGCCAGGGAATCATCTGGGCCAGCAGAGGCAGAGGCCCCCGCACGCTCCCTGCCCGATGCCCGACTCAGGCAGGTGGTGAAGGCATCCGAGACCTGAGCCCCTGCCCCTCACACTTTGAAAGTGGAGCTGCGCCCCTGTTGCTGAGCAGAAGCCCCACGCATGCAGGGGTGGGTTGGGAGGGGCCCCTGCCAGAGCCTCTCTCTACGCCGGCCTGGCTGTGGCATGTTCTCTCCAGATTTCCTCCAGGAGACGGCCCTGGTCCCTTGCCACAATAGAAATTATGCCCCATAATTTTCTGTTGTAAAACTTGATCTTTTTCTGCAAGCAAGTCATTAAAACTTCAGCTCTTGCACGCTCCATGTCCCATGAATGCCCAGGCCTTAGCACAGCTTCCGCAGTGCCAGAAGTTCCGTCAATCATGTTGAGTGATTGTAAATCACTCAATCAGTGGATGTAAATATGTGTACAAGAAGAAAGGAAGGAGTGGGGACACGGCCCCTTCCCCACAAGCCTCTCTCAAAAACCCGAACCTAACAGAATACAGGGGTGGAAACATGAACCTTTTCTCCATCTTCTGACCCTTAAGGACAGAGAGAAGCAGCAGGTTGTGATGTCAGTAGGAACTTGCAGACCAGGACAGCTGAGCGCTCACCGACGGCTCGCAGGACACCCTCAGTCACCGCCGCGCCCATCAGAAGAAACAGCAGGAACCAGACATTGCTCTGCCTGCAGAAATCACATCTGAAAATCAACTCTGCTTTGCTCCAAGCGACGGAGCTTTTTCATAAGTATAAAAAACAGCTAACTGGATAAAAACACCTTTCCTGGGGACCTGAGTGCTGCAATTCAAAGGGGCTGGCAGTGTGAGGCTGGAGAAGGGCTCCTGCAAGGCTCTTAGCTGGGCAGGCCGAGGGAGGCCCCTCTCGGTGAGCACGAAATCAGGGATGCCCCGGGCCGGTTAGGGATGGGGCCTGGACACCGTGAGATTTCCAGCAGGCTACACCTGGGGCTGCAGCCGGGGCAGCCCCCACAGAATACTCAGAGGCAGCGGGAAGTGCGGGCTGGTGACGAGAGTGGGAACACTGCCCCACACGCAGCCGCCTCGGTGCCACCTGGCGGACAAGCCGCCCCTGTCCCCCGCTTGGCCTCTCCACATGGCACATTTGCCCCTGGCAGTGCCCAGCCCCAGGTCCGGGTGACTGGGGACAAAGAATACCGATGGAAAAACAAGCTAACGAGCTCCTCCTAGGGAAGAGGCCCGCGCCAGGGAGGAGGCGGCCGTCTGGGCGGAGCTTCCCGATAGCCAGGCCCGGGCGGTGCCAGGACACTCACCTCAGGTCTCACCTGCAGAGCATCCACGAGTCACTCACGCTGGGCCAGGCACAGGCTGTGCACACAGAGGGCAGATCCAGACCACACGAGAGCATAGGTGCCCACGGGTGTGCAGGGATTGTGGGGGGAAAGGAGTGTGTGCTTGTGTGCCTGTAGGCGTGGGTGAGTGTAGGTGTGCCTGTGGGAGGGCGAGACCATGAGTGTGAGGGTGCGCGTGTGCCTGTGGGAGGGTGTGTGGGTGTGGGTGTGCGTGGGAGGGTGTGATTCTCTGTGGCTATGCCTGATTGTGTGTACATGTGGGTGCACATGCTGCACGTCTGTGCTGCAGGAACCCATAGGGCCAACCTTAGGTCCTAATTCTGGGCTGACCGTGTGCCGTCCCCCACGGGCCCCTGCATCCTCAGTTCCTCATCTGTGCTGTGGGCAGAAGCTGGGCTGCCCCACACTCCAACATCCCTAGAAGGGAAGGGATGGGGGCAGGGCTGGCTGCAGGGACAGCCTCGCCCACAGCAGACACGGAGGCCGCAGGGTCATGCCCTGGATGGATGTCACCCAGGAAAGGTTTTGCCTCCTCCAGTCTTTTAAATCAGGCTCCAGGGGCTACGATTACAGCCCTGGGCTTTCTCCCACCCCTCAGCCTCCCTCCTTAGTAGCTCCACAGCAGCTCCCTCCCGAGAGCACACCACCCCTGCACGCTCGGAGCTGCATCCTCCAGCCCCTCATTCCCCGCTCATCTACTCCGACCCAGCTAGGGATCCGGCTTCCCTCTTAGGGCCATTTCTCCTTTGCCAGCATTTTCTCTTTTTCCCTTCTGTCATGCTCTGCTACGTCCTCATGCAAAATTAAGCCCAAAACGGTTTCAGTTACTCCCAACCCTGAGACGAGTTTTAAAATAGTGACAGGATGAACATTGCACCTCCCATGTGAGGGCTGTAAGGGACTGGCAGTTCCAAATGCATCTTCCACTCGCAAAGTTGCTAACACAAATCCCATGGGGAAAAGGGAACTGCTGACCTTTCAGCGTGCAGATCTTCCCTTTGATGGGTTTGCTTGCCTTCAGAAGAGCCCAGGAAAGCTCTGCACAGAGGCCTGTGTGTTTCCGCCCCTCCTGTAGGAAATGAACGGGTGCGTCTTCTCCGTTGCCTTTATTGATCAAGGCCAAAATCACAAGTATAAATTACCACGGTGGGAAACGAGCTGCTCTGATGAGAGGCAGGTGGAGGAGGCTGCCTCGTCAATAATGCATCTGATCAGAAAGAAGGGGCTGATCAGAGGGAGGCCGGGCTCTTTGAAGGTTCTGGTTTTCCCATGGAAAGCTCCACCAGCTCTCTGCCTGCCGAGTTCCTGCTCTTGCCCAGACGGGAAGTGCGAGTAGCTTTCATATCAGACCTGCCGCTCACCGCACCGAACTGATTCCATGGACACTGACATTTGTCTCTGCAGCAGGGATGGCCGCCCTGGCCCAGGCTCCTGTCGCTGTGGATGCCTCTGTCTGGCACAGACTTTCGGTGTTAGAGCCCCAGGTGAAGGTCTGAAGCAAGAAGGAAAAGGACACAGAATCCCATCCCTTCTGAACCTGCGGGGTGCAGCTGCCCTGAGATCCTGTAGCATTTCACTGGGAGCCGACAGGGATGGTTTGCGCGCTGCCGGGATGCGTGAACAGGGGAGTCCATGAGGCCCCAGGGCTGACTCAGGGCACGTGCAGTTTGGGGAGCAGCCAGGGAGGCCTCCCGGGCAGCCGGTTGGAGGACAGAGCTGAGGACATGCAGGCTGTCTTCTATGATCAAGGGTGGGTGAGGCACAGAGGAACTCTGGTGACTGGATGCAGCCGTGAGGGGCCGTGGCCCAGAGAAGCACAGCGGTGTCTCACCTGGCTTCTCCGCAGGCCTCAGACTCATGTCCTCAGGTGCAGGTGCCGGGCCCTCCTCCAACAGTGAGCTCCAGCTGCCTCCCCGCTCAGGGGCCACTCTGCTCTGATACGGGCTCTGATACCGGCCTGCAGCTCCCCTGCTCTTGGTTTCTGCCTGGTGTCACCTTCTTCCACGACACCCAGTCCCAGGATGACTGACGCCCAGGGAGATCTGTCGCCTCTCCTCAGAGACCACGTGTGTTCACCCTCAGCAGCAACACGCTGCTCCTTCCTCAAGGCGTCCTGAGGCATTGTGCATTTTCACCATTTCTGGGATGTAAAGAAGGAGGAATATTTGTCAGATAGAGAGAATACCGGTTCAGATGGTTGGTGGCTCAGATAGAGGTGGGGTTTGTTCCAGCCAGCAGCCCGTCCTGAGAACCAGGCTGGAAGAAACACCCTTCCCTGTGGCACCACAACACCTACACCGAGGTGTCTGTGCTGCCTGGAAAGCACAGCGGGTCTCCCCAGTGCTGGGGTCATCCGGAGAGCCAAGCACCTTCCAGAGGGGCCTCGAAGTGGGGGCGCAGGCCCCCCAGGGTGCTCAGGCCAGACCGCCTCCTCTCAGGTGGTTCAGCAAGAGCTTCCTTCTGCCTCAGATCCTTCCAGGGTGTGGACTCTCTTTTCTTATGATTCTTTTCTGACTTCACCTTACGTCACTCCTCTCCAAACCTAGATGGTAAGCCCGGTGAGGGCAGGGACCCAGCCTCCCTCATTTGCAAAGCAACCACAGTCCCTGCCTTTGAGCTGGGCTGCGGGTGCCAAGCTGGAGAGCATTTCGCCCTCTCCCACTGCTGCTGAAACAGAAACCACAAATTTAGTGGTTTAAAATAGCACAGATTTCTTCTCTTGCAGAGCTGGAGCTCAGAAGTCCGAAATGAGTTTCACTGAGCCAAAGCCAGGGAGTCAGCAGGGCTGGTCCCTCTGGAGGCTGCAGAACACCTGCTCTGCACCTCCTCCGACCTCTGCAGCTACTCGGCACCCAGGACAGCTGTGCGGCCTCTGCTGTGTCTGAGCTGCTGTTGTTCCATGGCCCTCTCTGTGAGCTTGCTGTCTCCCTCTCATAAGGGCCCTCTCATAAGTCATCTGGATGACCCAGAACAACCTCCCAATCTCTAGACACTTATCCCGACTCCATCCATAGAGCCCCTCTTGCATGTAAGGTAACGTGCCCACGGGTTCGTGGGATTAGGATGTGCACACCTTTGGGGGCCTGATGTAGCTGACCATGCCCACATCTGGTGGGAACCCACCTTCAGGGTTTCTTCTCCTTGGACACAGGCTACAGCCCAAGCCAAATGTCCCAGAGCCTGGAGCAGGGCCCCCCTCCCCCACTTTCCCCAAAGAGGCTGGCGCGGGAACAAAGCCCCTGTGTGGTCAGGAGCTGGGAGGGCAAGACAACAGGACAACAGGACAAGAGGACAACAGAACAACAGGGCAACAGGGCAACAGGACAACAGGGCAACAGCCATCCCAGCTGGAGAAGATTCTCAGGGCTGAGGTGGAGGAGGTCGGGCCTCAGCCGGGCTCAGAGTGGAACTGCTGGTCCTCCTGTCACAGGAGGGAGGGGCGGTGGGACGAGAAGAGAGGGCCTTGAGATCAAGCCGTGCCCTGCTGAAGCCTGGCAGAGGGGCTGTGCCTCTGGGCAGCTGGTGTGAGCTGTCGTCTCGTGCAGCTGGTCTAGGATGGGGCAGAGGCTCTGCCTTGACCTCTCCCACCCCTGGTGCCGTTTGCCCCTCCACTCCAGGTGAGCACAGCTGGAGCAGCAGCTACCTCGAGGACTGGTGGCCTTTGAGGTTTTCCCGATGGACTTTTCAGGCTTCTACCAGCGGGGCCCCGTGACTGTACTGCCTCCTGGGAGCTGCTACTGGGAGAGGCAGCGGTACAATCCCCCCTGCCTAGAGTCGACAAGGGGCTTCCCCCACTGAGCTGAGACAAGGCCTTCTGTCTGCATCATGAAGCTGCGATCGCAGCTTCCTACAGCTATGAAACTCCCAGCTCAACCTACCCAGACTCAGTTCTGTTCCCTGAGACCTTCGGTCACAATGGCACACCTCGCCTGGGGTGGAACCTCCTGCTGTTTACACTGATGAGCCCAGGGTGAGCAGAGACAAAGCGCCAAGACACGCTCGTCAGAGAAGGGCTGGGCAGGACAGACACAGGCGGACGGGGTGGCCAGAGAGGCCGTGAGAAACGGACAAAACAGAGGGGGTGCATTTATCATCCCTTCCTCAGCACCTGACGCCAGGCAGGCCCTGTGCCTCCCCAGTCCAACTCTTCCAGGCATGGCAGATGCTTGATAATTCCTGCGACTGACCCAAAGGCTTCACAGGTCAGATTCCAGCCAGGCCGAGCCTGTGAAAAGACTTTCTTCAGAAAGTCCAGACCATGGTGATCATGGCCATTACGGCTGGAAATGTTGGAAGACCTGCAGGGCACTGGGCTTGTACCTTGGCCTCTTGGACATGCCCCCTCCTCCCTCGTCTCTCCCCAGGGAGAGTCAGTGATGGTTCACCTGGTGCCAGGCTGTTCCCCATCCAGCAGGAGCCATTAGGGAGGAGCAGGTGGGCTGGGCCCCACAGACTGAGAGAGTCAGGTCCCCAGCCCTGGAGAAGAGGGCACTTTAATGAGTGTATTTGGCCAATGGCCAGTCACTGAGGCTGTGGTCCTCCCCTGTCTCCGAGAAGCCCCAACATGGAAGGCTCAGGATAGAATATCCCCACGACTCTGCTCACCACCCTTCCCATGAGGCTCTGTCATGGGAGGCTGGATGCAGTGTGTCTTTAAAATGGTCTGCCCATCTCAGTCTCAAACTTTGGAAAGGGTTAACATAGCATTCCATGACCAGGATGCTGGGACTTTGAAGTTTCCTCTGCTAAACAGGACAGAGGCTCAAAAGAGCTCTTCCTCAAGCTGATTTAACCAGTCACTGGGTGGCACAGGCCATCAGCACTGAAGGCCGCAGCAGAGAGATAAAGGGATGCAGCATCACTTATGCAAAAGCAGAATAAGGTATTACCCCTTGCAGATGGCTTCTGGCATTTACCTTGTTGGATCTCATGTTAGCAACGACCACCAACACTTCTGAACGGCAACACTTAACGAGAGTCTTTCCATTCTCCATGAAAAGAGTTGTCACAGAAAAATTTAAAGGGAAAGTGGCTTTAAACTGCCCATATCAAGTAGGAGTCTCCGGGGCTTGGCTGAGCCGGCGTTCCTCCTTTTAACTCTTCCATGTCGTTGGAGAGCCAGAGTTTGAAAGCCCTGGGACAGAAGAGGAGGAAGAAAAGGAAGACGAGGAGGACAAGGGGGAGGGAGAGGACAAGGAGGAGGCAGAGGAGGAGAATTAGGAAGAGGAAGAGGGGGATGAGGAGGAGGAAGAAGAAGACAAGGAGGAGGAGGAGGAGAGGGAGGAGGACAAGGAGGAGGTGAAGGAGGAGGAGTCGGGGAGAAGGAGGAGGAATCGGGGAGAAGGAGGAGAATGAGGAGGACAAGGAAGAGAACGAAGAGGAGGAGAAGGAGGAGGAGAAGGAGGACTAGGAGGAAGAGGAGAATGACAAGGAGGGGGATAAGGAGGACAAGGAGGACAATGGATGAGGAGGAGGGAGTAGGAGGAGGAGGGGTGGGAGAAGGAGAAGGGGGACAAGGGGGAGAAGGAGGAGTGGGGGAGATGGAGGGGCCAGAGGAGGAGGCAGCCGTGGTGGCTTGGGCGAGGCGTTGGATCCAGGGCGTGCTTGGCTGTTGCCTCCCTCTAGACCTCAGTCTCCTGTCCTGTGAAATGGGCAGGCACTGAGGACCCTGTAGCATCCCCAGCCCATGAGTGCTCACCCCCTTGATGAGCAGCATCACTAGCATGTAGAAATACGTTGGATTTAAGATATTTCCAAGCCATGGTCCTAAGTGGTGGCCACATTCCAGGCTCTCCCCAGAGGCGATGAGGATCCGGTTGCTTGGCATAAGCCTCACTGTCGTGTTGTCAGCCTCTTTCCGCCTGCATCCTGGCGGGCGTGCAGGGCGTCCCACTGAGATTTTCAGTTGCACTTCCTGATCACTACGAGGCTGAGCAGCTTTTCTCAAACTCATCAGCTATTTGTGTATCTTCCAAACTGTTTGCTCAAGTCTTTGCCCGTTTTTTAGAATTGGGCAGTAGTCTGTTGATTGCTGGGTCTCCAGAGTTGCTTACACATTCTTCACGGAGGTCTTTCATCAGGTGTCCCTGTTGTGTGTATTTTCACCCAATGACTTCCATTTTCTTGAAGTCCAATTTATCAATCTCCCTCCTTCCCCTGTGGCTGGTTTTTTAAAATGAAGTTTTTTTATTTTAGAGCCATTTCGAGTTTACAGAATTGTTATAAAGATAGTGCCGGGTTCCCATATACTTCACACAGTTTGCTTATTATTAATGCCTTACATTATAATGGTACATTTGTCAGAATTAGCGAACAAACGTTGCTACATAATCATTGACTAAAGCCCACGGTTCATTTGGTTTGTTCTCGGGTGGCCGTTTTGTGGGCCGGGATCCTATCCAGGATCCCGTGTGACATTTGCTTGTCACATCTCCTTGGGGTCCTCTGGGCCGTGACAGTTTCTCAGACCTTCCTTGTTTTCTGTGATCTTGAAAGTTCTGAGAAGCTGGGCTCAGGCATCTGGGGGAGTGTCTGTCTGCCGGGATTCGTGTGAAGTCTTTTTTTCATGATCAGATTCCGGCTGTGGGCTCCTTGGAGGAAGAGCAGAGGTGAGGCGCTTCTCATCCCACCACATCAGGGGTCCTGCCTCGGCCCGGCTCACTGCTGATGTTGACCTCGGCTACCTGGCAGAGTGTGCTGGCCAGGTTTCTCCAGCATGAAGTCACTCTCGTTTCCCTTGTAAGTTATACTCTAGTTTATCAATCTTCTAGTTTATGGCTTGTGTCTTCTCTATGAAACCCTTGCCTAACCTCTCAGTTTCGAAGGTATGAGAGGGAGGAGTCAAGATTCTTTTTTCTTTTCATGTGGATATCCAGTTTTCTTTTATTTATTTATATATTTTATATTTTAGAGACAGGATCTCACTCTATCGCCCAAGCTGCGATCACAGCTTACTGCAGCCTAAAACCCCTGGGCTCAAGGGATCCTCCTGCCTCAGTGTGCACCTCCGTGCCTGGCCTACATCTCTGTGTAGAGACACAGAGTCTTATGACGTTGCCCACACTCGTCTCAAACTTCTGGACCCAAGCAATCCTCCCACCTTGGCATCCCAAAGTCCTGGGACTACAGGCATGAGCCCCCCTACGCCTGGCCTGATATCCAGTTATTTCAGTACCATGTTTCCCCCTGTGGTTTTGGCCTGCTTGTTGAAAATCATGGGATGGTGCCTGTCAGCCTATTTCTGTAATCTCTGCTCTATGCCAGTGAGCTATTTCTTTATGGCCTTACTGGTGCAAGATTTGACAACTCTTCTGATGGTGCCGTTCCTTTCCAGATGGCTGTGGCTGCCCTTAGACCTTCACTTCTCTATGAACTTCTAAATCATCCTGTTAATTTAGAGGAAAAGTCCACAGGGACTCCAATTGAGATTTCATTGAATGATTAGATCAATTTGTGAAGAATTAGACATGGTATATTTAGAGATATATCTCTCAGATAATTTTTGGTGTAGAGGTTTTCACATATATTGTGAAATTTATCCCTAAGTATTTGATTTTACTATTATAGATAGTATTTTTGACTTCATTTTAAATTAGTCATCAGCAGTATATAGAAATACAACCTATCTTTATATGTTGACCTGGTGTCCTGTGATGTTTTAAATTAGTCATCAGTAGTATATAGAAATACAACTGATCTTTACATATTGACTTGGTGTCTTGTGATGTTGCAGAATTCACTTATTGGTTCAAGTTGATTTTTTGTGGATCCCTTAGGATTTGCCACCTCATTTCACCTGTAAATGAGGATAGTTTTACTTATTTCTTTCCAATATTTATACTTTTCTTTTCCTCATCTCTTTGCACTGGCTGGAACCTCCCAGCCCAATGCTCACAAGAAGAGATGAAAACAAAAACAGAAACCCTTCCCTTTCTTCCCGTTTTAGGGGGAGTTATTGAGTATTTCATCATTTGTTATGATGTTGGCTATAGAAAAAAAAAAGTCTGTTTTAACAGTGCTAGCCACTGGGAGAGTAAGCACCTGCCCTTATCTGAAGGCAGGGACTTCTGAAGGCCTCTGTGCTGAGTTCTGAATGACTTCCAGGTCACAATTAGCTCCTGGATGTTTACAGACAGAGTTGCAGAGACGTTCCTGGGTCCCATGACCCTCGTTGGACCCCAGGCATGCAGAGGAGAAAGCAGCATCTTCAGGCCCAGCCCAGGCGAGTGTCCTGCCTCTCTCACTGTCAGGGACACCAGGAGCTTGCAGCAATGGTCCTAACCTCTCCCTGCTCCTTCTCCACTTTATGGTCCTTACAACAAGGTGATCCCCTGCTCCAGGATCTCAATCATAAAGGGTAGAGAAGCATCTGCATGAGGCAAAGGTGGACCTGAAAGCCAGGCCAGTGTTCGTCCCCACTCGGCCTTGTTGCTCCGTCTCGTCCAGGCTAGGACCTGCATGTGTCAGGGAAGCAGCTGGCTGAGCTCATGGGGGCAGAGAACCACCAATGAGGTGGGGGAAGAAGGGTCACGCTTCATTTAGAGGGGCACACAGTGCAGAGGAGGCCAAGCCTAGCCAGGCAAGACGTGCATCCTGAGTGAGGCGGGTAAGACCACCTGCATTCAATGTGCCCCCTGTGTCTCCCCACTTCTCAACTCTTGTCACACACTGGACAAGCAGAGACAGGAGAGAATCACTCCATGTCATTGAATAAACTGGTTTAGAGCTCTGTCTGATAAAACCACAGTGAACAGAGAAGAAAAGAGCCATCACGTTTTAACGTGTGGCCGGCCTGGGTGCAGCCTTCTGAGGGATCCCTGGAAGCCTCAAAGCTGTTTCATCTCGGGCGAGGTTTGGGGTCCTCTGATATTTGTGGATTCTCTACCATATGGGAGACCTAAAGGCTCAGAACATGAAAAGTGTTGGGAGCTTTAAACTACTATCTTCTCTTTTCCTTTGGTATAATGCACGAGAGCAAAATGTACAAACGGATCTCCTTATATTCAAGGTACAGACCAAGGAATGAAACCCAGGGAGCAAAAGGCACGGCAGACAGCAGCAGGGCCAGGGCTGTGTCCAGTCCTCTGAAGACTGCGGGGTCTGCATAAAGGAGGCCCTGTCTCTTCCCCTTGGGCTGCTCGAACCACACAAGCTGATGTCAGGAGTGACTAAATCTACCCTAATTAATAGACCATTTGACTCAAGTCCAAGCTAGGAAGCAAACACACAAAAGGGGTTCCTATAAAAACACCAGCAGAGGCGTGGAGCCGTTTCAGCGTGCTGTGGAGAGAGCTAACTCCTGGCTGCTGATCTCTTGAGGCCACGTGAGGGCTCCATCCCTGGCTTGGCCACCCACACCTCCCCTGGGCCGGCACCTTCTTATCTGGATGAAAACAATTCCCACCTCACGGGAAAGTTTTAGGCAACATTGTTTATTGCCTGCAAATCTCCCTGTGTGGTCTTGCTGAGGCACCAGCAAAAGCAAGTTGCTTCTGCTCTCTGTTGACTTTGGCCAGAGCATCTTTTGACCGAGATTTGACCGAGTCACCACCGTCTGACAATTATGAAGGATTTGATTTATTCTGGACACTGGCCTTCTCCAAGCTGGCGGCTAATAAGGTCCTATGAATGTTGTTAGCTGTTGACTGTGGACCACATAATTTCTCAGAGATTCTGCACCTCTTTGGAGCACTAGCTGGGCGCTGCCTAGAGGAACTTTCTGATGGTGGAAATGTCAACTGATGGTTAGATGTTCAGGGGCACCCCATCCACCAGGCGAGCTCAAAGCAAATGTCCTTCTGGAGTGAGTGCATGGGTCCAGGAAGGCCAGGCGTGTCGTTGTGTAGGGCCATGAGTCCACGAGGAAATGAGGTGCCAGTCCCCCTGCTCCTCACAGGGATGGACCAGGACTCACTTCCGACCAGTTAATTAATGGACTTGAGACTTGTGACCCACCTGAGGACCAAGTCCTCGCAGGACACTGGGTAGAATGGTAAAGACAAGCAGTGGCATGACCTCTAATGCCAGAGTAAGAACGTGTGCCCCATGCCCACCCAGGTCGCTAGGCCTTTACTGCAGCCGAGGCACTGCCTCTGTCTGGTCTTGGGTGCTGAGAGGCCGGGACCTGCTGCGGCCTGTTGGATGCAGCTCATGCTCCCTCCCGAGTCCGTGGCAGAGAGCAGTAGGGGCTCAGGGCAGCAGAAGGCCCAGGGAGAGGAGGGGGTCCTCCCTGTCCAGGTGAGAGCCTTTGACCATACCAAGAGCCGGGGTGCCCAGTTGTCCTTCAGCACTGGGCCTTCCAGCAGGCCAAGGGAGACAGTATCAGAACCTCATCATAGGCTGTTTAAGGCTTAAGTGAGGTTGACAGGTGAAATGCTGAGAACAGTGGCCCCTTGCAAGCGTTTTATGGAGGTAGTGTATTCTCTGTGTGGATGCAGGTGGGGAGAAGTGGAAGGAAGGACGCACGAGAGCCAGCCTGCGACACCTAAGGACAGAAACACCTCCCTCAGCCCAGCCGGCTGCTGACTCCATGCGAAGAGGGACACCAACCCTTACAATCTCACAGTGTCCTGCCCCTGCCCCTGCCCCTGTGAGGTGGGAATCATTATGCTTATTTCACAGACGCAGAAACTCAGAGGGCTTAAGGGTGATTGAAGTTTGCTCCAGGCCTGGACTCGAATCTGTGTCTTTGCTTCCTAGGGCGATGCTCCTTCCATCAAAACCAGAGTGTCCCAGCTCTAGATTCCCCACCCAATCTCCTGTGGCTGTCTCAGCACCTCCGTCGTGAATCCGTGCATCCCTTCAGACGACTGCCTTCCGATGCGGCCCCTGACCTGCCCCCCCTCCCATCACTGAATAGGACTCCTTTTCTCCTGGATTTCCTGTAGGAAGTTTCAAAATGCTCTCCAGGTTTTCTGTGGGTGGATTATCTCTCTGGATCTTTCTAAGTGAGTCCTGTGTTTCACCACAGCTCCCCCCACACAGTTGAGCAGCTATACCGTGGGGAGGCTTGGTCCTCTTGCCCCATTTGTGTGATGTCTATTGTAGTCATGCCAGGGGCCTGACGTCAGAGCTCCACCCTGACATGTGCTCATGCCGGTTTACAAACCCTCCCAGGACCAGGCCCCCATCCCTCTTCCAGGACAGGCTCTGGAGCTCCAGCTATTAACAGAAACATTCCAGCCAGCATCCCCAGCGACCCTCAGCCTCCCACGCCGCTGTGTCTTCATGACCACAGCCTGGCCACCACACAGCTCCCCCTCGAGGACTGTGACCACTTCCAGCCATGGTCTCTTTGGGCCATGCGGGATATATTCCCATTTCCCCATTCAGCTGGGAGATTTTACCAAGGGATTTTTCTCTCCTGGCTCCAATGCCAGCAAGACCATGAACAGCTGTGTCATTTTCACTTTCAAGCCTCAGCTTCTGTACATAAAAGAATACAGTTAATAATGATTTCCTCCTCCTGAGTTGCTATCGAATGAAATGAGGTTATGCACACACATGGCAAGGACCTGCGTCTGGCAGGAACAACATCTCGTTCATCGTCACGAGTGCTTCCCCTTGTGTCTTCCCTCCTGTGTGTGAGATGGGGGCTCCCAGGCCTCCCCAACAAAATACACTTTTCCAGCTTTTAGAGGCCAGCATTCCTAACTCCTTGCAATAAATCCCTATCATAGTACAAATGTAAACACATCACGGTATAACTCAAATCAACTGCCCCTGATTTTGCCATGTTTCAACCTTTTGTTGCCATCGGCCTCCTAAACAATGGCTTTAATGGAAACACAGGTATGTAAGCTTGGAAGCTGCTCAAACATCTCAGTCATTCAGAAATAAAACACTTGTTGAGCAGCTAGTCTGTGCCAGTTGTATTAGAGTTCTCCATAGAAACAGAACCAATAGGATGTACACAGAGAGAGGGATGAGCAGGGATTTTTCATGTGACTTGGCTCATGTGATTATGGAGGATGAGAAGTCCTGCTGCCATCTACAAGCTGGAGAACCAGGGAAGTTGCTGGTGTACGTCCCAGAGTCCAAAGGCCTGAGAACCCCGAGTTCTGATGTTTGGGGGCAGGAGAAGATGGATGTCTCAGATCCAGAATAAGGAAAGAATTCACCCTTCCTCTGCCTTTTTGTTCTATCTGGGCCCTCAGGCTTCGGGGAGCGTGGATTTTCCCACTCACTCCCCTGATTCAAATGCTGATCTCTTCTGGAAACGCCCTCTCAGGCGCACTTAGAAAGCATGTTTTATCAGCTATCTGGGTTTCCCTCAGCCTAGTCAAGTTGACACCTAAAATTAACCAACCACTAGGCAATGCACTACCTAGGAATACAGAGCCAAGGAGGGCGGGATCTTCCCAGGCCTCAAGGTCTCTCATCTGCTGAGCAGACAGGCATGAGGCAGACTCTCACAAGTAATGAGGTTGGTGGCAAGGACTACAAAAGAGAAAGACCTCTGCCAAATGCAAAGTTGCACTAAGTGCTAAGATAAACCCAAATCTGAACTGCAGAACTGTGGGCTGTGATGTTCACCCCCACCCAAGTGGCTATGTTGCCACATCGGCTGCAAACACACGTGAATTTGGGCTGGGTATCAGGAAATGAAGTCATTCTGGGAATGGAAATTTAAGTTTGTTTAGGGAACTGTGAAAATCTGCATTGGAAAACAGATACTGCGAGAGAACAGGTTCTGCAGACCAGCAAACAGTCCAGACACTGGATTTCTTCCCTGCTCGCTGTCTGGCCGCAGCCGGGGACAGACAGGCAGAGCGGGAGTGTGTCAGAAGGTGTTTTCTAGGGGAAAGAAGGAATAAAAGAAGACCCAGAGGAGATGCAGTGACATTGGGAGGTTCAATAATTTCCCTGCAGTTGAGGGCCCCTGGACCACTGTTTCCCCAGCAGAGACAAGGTGGTGGCTGGCATGGAGGGAGCTTCCTTAGAAGAACCCAGAACCCGTGTATTCCCCTGAGAAGCGTCATGAAACCTCTCAGATCTCTAATCCCTGCACTGCCCTGGAGCATCAAGGCCCAGCGCTGCTGTTGAATATTGTGAATGTGGTTTTTCCTGACTCACCATAGAGTCAATAATTTCCAGTTTAAACGAATTTGTTAAATATCCTTCCAGATTATGCCATTATCCAAGAAAGTCTTAGCTGGCTAAACTGGAGCAAGCAATTCTTTTAGGAATTTGGAGAGCAAGTTTATTGTGAGAATCTTGCAGCTGTGACAGACAAATGTCCACAGAGAGAAGAGACGCCTCTGAGAGGTAGTGAGCCTGATAACTGAGCACCGGGAGGGCTGCAGAGCCGGACGGCTCAGCCTCGGGATCCAGCCCAGCCTCTCCTTCCCTACAGTGAGCTCCTGCCAGACCGCAATACCCTCCAGCATTCCTGACATGAATCTGACCTGCGGGGAGGATCCGGGACAGACCCAGCGCAGTGGAGCATCTCGGATGCCATGAGTTTCCCGGTAAGCAGCACCCAGGGGCAGCACCAGGGGGAGCAGCTTCTCAAGCTCCCAAGGGAGCATGTGGGTCGACGAACAGCAGCCTCCTCTGACTTCTTCCTGGTGATCTGGGGAAGGAGGAGGCAGCGTCGGCGCTTGGCCGCATTGATATATGACACCTTGTCCCTCCTTTTCATGGCCCCCTTTTCTCCAAATCAGGATTGTAAGGCCCATTGACTAACTTCTACAGATTGCCACAAGCTCGAAACATAGTAATTGAGGGAAAGAACAGCATTGCTGATGTTATTCCTTCAATCATAACACAAAAATTCTGAGTGTGTGCCAGGAAATGTCCTACCCAATGGAGATTAAAATTTTAGAGGGAGGAGACACGCAATAAACAACTAAATAATTAAAACATGCAGTGTGCAAGGCAATGATAAGGGCTTTGAAGAAAAGTAAAGCAGAAAAGGGGTAGACAATGTGAAAGCAGGAAGCAAGTTCAAAGGTATGGCCAGGGAAGGTCTTCCCAAGAGGTTGTCACCTGCACAGAGACTGAGACAGGCGAGGGCCAGGCGAGCTGGGCCTGGGAGAAGTGGGAGCACACCCAGATCATTCCAGGAGCAGGGAGGCCAGTGAGAACCATGAGCTGTGGAAGATGGAGTTGAGAGGGAATGGGGCAGGGCCGGCGGGGCCTTGCAGGCCACTTGGAGGCGTGGAGAAGTTCCTGGATGTTTGGAGCAGAAAGCTGGCATTCCCCGACCTGTTTCAACAGGAACATTGTGGCCAATGTATTGGCCACAGATCCACGCTGTAGGCCTGATGAACAGAAGTCTGACACATGTCACCACAATAGAGAGTCACAGCATCTCAATTCTCAGACTTAAACCAGTTTACAGACCCAGAGCCCCTGGAGGAAGGGCCCACCACACTGCCACCTGGTGAAACCATAGAGGCTTCACCTTCCTCCCAGCCTTCCCTGAAGACGCTGTGGCCGCTGTCTCTACTGTGGAAGGGAACTGATCAGACTCTGCAAGCGTTACTGGACACTGGCTCCGAAATGACACCAACTCCTGGAAACCCCAAATGTCACTGTGGTTCACAGTCAGGGTGGGGACTTTTGGGTCAGCAGAGTTTTGGCTCAGGTTTGATGCATAGTGGGGCCCACTGCGTCCACCCTGTGGTTATTTCCCCAGTTCCCAAATTCATGACTTGAACTGACTATTCAACAATGGGCAAAATCCTCACATTGGCTCTCCGGGCCACAGAGCGAGAGCTGTTATGGTCAGAAAGGCCAAACAGAGGCCGCTGGAACTGCGTCTTCCTGTGAAAATAGCAAACTAAATGCAATACCATATCCCTGGAGGATTGCAGAGATGAGGGCCACCATCACAGACTTGAGGAGGCAGGGGTGGGATTCCTACCACATCTCCGTACAGCTCACCTACTCGGCCCGCACGGAAGGGAGACAGCTCTTGGAGAAGGACTGAGGATTATCATAAACTTAACCGGGGTCACTCTAGTTGCAGCTGCTGGTCCAGATTCAGTTTTGTTCCTGTTTTAAAGCAACCAGTCCTCTGGCTCCTGGTCTGTAATGTGTATTGGTCACCCCAGGGGTGGATGAGCCTTGGCTGTTGGTTCTAATTCAGAAATTCCCAAGGAAGGTTCGTGGTTGGCCCAGTGTGGGGCAGACCTTCCCAAGAACCAATTGTCCTTGGAGAGGGTAGCAGAGCACTTTCCCCGGTTGAGGCCAGCGTGGGGCTCGGAGGATGTTTCAAAGGAGCACTTTGAAAGTCTTGGAAGAGGTGTGTGAAATCAAGAGCAGGGCTTCAGCCCACCGGCCCTCCGCTGCTCAGTGCAGCTCATGCCCCATGACCTCCCAGGAAAAGAGAAATGCCCATCCCAGGAGATCCCGCGCTCCACCGTGGTCAGAGCAGAGGAAGGCGCCTTCTGTGGCCAGGCCAGTTCACAACCGGCAGATTCCCCGAGTGCACAGGCAGGAGAGGGGCTGGCCACTGCCTTCGCTCTCTTCTGAGCAGCACTGCTGTCTGAAGAGTCCAGTCCCCACACAGCTGAGGTGAGGGATGGTGCTGATGCGGAATGTCAAGTGAGATGCATTTGTTTTCAGCTTGGAAGACGCTGTTTACTGTTAATTTGACCAAGTGTTAGAGCGCATCTTGGAGAGAAGATAAGACGTGGTCAGAGATGTAAAATGATACTCATTGTGCCTGTAGAGGCCGGGCTCAGGGCCCTGGTGCTTCTCCCAGCTCTGGGTGACCGTCTGCAATGGAGGGAGTGTGTGGGCTGGTTTGCCAGCGGAGAGATTTGCCTCACGTCACCAGGAGCCTGGCCGAGCACCACGGTGACCGTGGCCGGGTGGAAGGAGATGGACGCCCACTTGTGCAATTTGCTTCCATTCTTTCTCCAGGGGCCATTTCAGAATAAAATGTAATGGCCCTTTCTTGTTCAGTGTGGTCTCAAATGGAAGTTTCTTGCTTTGGATGCAGTTTCCATGGGAAGAGAGAGTGAAGGGTGCCACCCATGGTTTTTGTCTGGGAACAGGCTCTGTCTGGGCCTGGATCCCCGAGTCTCCCCAGACCCCTGGATGGCCCCTAGCCTCCCTCAACCAGAGGGCATGAATGATGCTGCTTCCCCAGCAATTTGTCTGTTTTCTGAAAGTTGCTGGTGATTCTGCACAGTGCTTGGAAGTCCTCTCTGTGCTCAGAAGCACTTATACTCAATGCAGCAGCGACCCGTCTCAGGGCACCAGCACAGCAGGGAGAGAAACTGAGGCGGTCAGGGTGGGGGGACTTCACCAGCGAGTCAGCAGGGTTGGTTCAGGCCAGAGTGTGGGGAAAGGCTCAAGGAATTAGAATTCTCACCTGATTGTGCCCCCAGCTGTGGACCGTGGCCTCGGCTTCCTTTTCTCTATGATGACACAGTTGGGAAAGCTGCTCTCCAGGGTCCCCCGGCAGCTCTGATGGCCGGGAACACCCACAGCCTGGCCCCAATCAGAGACGGTCAGCAAGGACACGCCGGCAGGGCTCAAAGAACCCCAGAGCTGAAGGGTAACACTGCACACTGTAACAGCTGCTTGCCCAGATGGTGACTAATGGCAGCTTCCAAGATCATTGCCTCACTGGTCTCAGCCCCGTAATAGGAAAATCCTCCTGCAAGCATGTGACTGTCCCCACCTGAGGAATGGGGGATGTTTACTAACCCCCATCATATAAGGAAGTGTTCACATTACAGACAGAAATGCCACATCTTGGCTAAAGGACGTGTCCGTTGAATCCCTTAAGTCTCCTGTGTTGCCGTCACTTACTGGGAGGTGTTCGGGTGGGACCTTGGGGCGTGGCCCCTTGCTCTTTTGTTGCCACTCTTGATTTTTAAAAGCATCGTCTTGTTCAGTTAGTACACCTGAAATCTGCTTTTATACAAACGAGTTAAAGCTCAGCCTTAGCCGTGGTCCAGTGGGGCCTGGGGAGGGCCTCTGCACAAGATGCACGGGGCAGACCCCACAGCACCTGGCAGGCCAGCACCCGGGGCCCAGCGGCCTAGTTTGGCCACAGCAGGGAACATGCTGCCTCCACCCCTTCCCCGGCTGGACCACAGAGACCTAGATAGTAACTAAGCAGAGACTCATGTCCTTGCTGTCTTTCATGGCGTGATTAAAGGGCCCTGCCCCACCGGGCGCTGAGAGCTCTGAGAGGAACGTCTGCTCCTGGCTTCTCTGGGAAGTGGGGCCCAAGTGAGGCTGAGCTGTGTGCAACATGCAGGACATACAGGCTCAGAGTGGTGGGGACAAAGCAAGGACAAAGCCTCACGACAACGGAGCAGGTTACAGAGCTGGCTGTGACTTCAGATGAGTCACGTGAGGCTGGCATGGCTGTGCTCCCTTGGGCATGCAGTCTCCCAAGAAGCAGCAAGAAGAATCCACCCTTCAGAACAGCCTGCAAGGGGGAGCACCCTCCCTGCCTGCTCCTCTGTCCAGAAAGCTGCCTCCCCACCCTTCAGCAGTTCCAGGAGGGGCGACTCCTCCAGGCCTGAACTGAAGGGACTGGGAGTATGGAGCACTGAGCAAGAAGAAGGGAGGGGGGCTGAGAGGAGGGGGCAGTGCACATGTCTGTGCTCTCAGAAATGGTGGAAAGTGACAGCCCTGGCCCCTAGATGTCCAGAATTTAAGAAAGATTCTTGGAATTCACACACACAAGCACAGAAACGCACACCCAACACCCCTTAGCCCCTGCTGGTCATGAGACTTATTATTGGATACCTGGGAGTCTGCATGTGTCAGATCCCAGTGGTGACAAACCCGCTGGGCCCCCTTCCCATCACTCACTGTCCCCAGGACAGAGGCATCACCAGGCCTTTGTCCCTCTGCTGGGGCAGCTGGGTTGGTGGGGAATAGAGGGGCAAGGGAGAGACCTGGGGCTTCTTTTCTCCAGCGTCACTCTGGGGGGATGAACATACTATGCATTTCTCCTCCTGCGATAATCAGGCCCCCAGGCCTGCCCCTGCACTGCAGCTCCCACCTGGTGCCTGGCTGCCTCAAGCCAGCAAGATGCCTCAGCCTCTGGAGGTGAAGAGGAAAGCTAGCTGTGCCCCCTCGTGGAGAGCTGCTGGTTTATTCCTTAGTGATGGGTCCTGAGCATTGGCCTGATTATTTTATAACAGACTGATATCTTTCTGGAGCCCCTGAAAACACAATTTGCTGCCATGAAGCATGTTGTTTCCTTGCTAAAACAGTAAGTTGTTTTCCCCAGCAATTCTAACAGGCAGAAAACCCCATCTCAGCACATCAGCATCCCTTCCCTACCCCAGGAAGGTAAGAGAGGGCTGCAGGAAGAGGAAGGAAGTGCTAGAAAGCGGCTCTTCCCCGGGGAGCAGCGGTCAGTCAGTCTGCATCCTCCTGGGAGCCTGGTTCCTGCAGTTCCCACGGCCGCGCTGGGTAAAGCTGGCAGGGAAGACAGACCTCTACCGGGGCAGGGCCCTGCAACTTCTTTCTCCTGTGTTAAACTGTTCTCAATGACAGAGGCTGCCACGATGGTGACACTGAAGAGCACTGGCAAACGCACTAGCTGAGTAACAGACACTGTAACCAGCTGGCTGCAGCATTCGGAGTGGGCAGGTGCTGCCTGACTGCAGGGGCAGAGGGCCACCTGTCTTCTCTATACCCTCCTGGCATTTCAGAGCCCTGGCCGGAGCCTGCCTTCCTGGCCATGGTTGTGAGCAGGGAGGCCTGGGTGTACACATGTCCATGTGTGGATCAGCAGAGGGGTAGAATGGGGCCTGTGTTTTTTTACCCCATCCCACCCGATGGCCTACACTGGAAAGTCATGTAGGAATGAGGAAGGTGAAGAGGGTTCTTGCAGCTGACACCAGGCTGCCCAGCTTAGGTTGGGCCTGACCTCAGGACTGAGCCCAGCCCCCAGGGTAGCTCCAGTGCTCACCGTCGTACCCCATGATGCCCTACTGTGTTCACAGGGGAATGAGGCAGCTCCCCACACACAGAGGGCTCCCAGGACAGGTCCTGCCAAGGGTGTGACTGATGACCTGCTCCCCGAGTCCAAAGTCCTGGCTGAGGTCCAGGCAGCTGTGTCAGGGAGGGTCACATGGCACAGGCCAGGAAGCCCCTGCCCATGGGGCTAGCATTTACCATCCACGAATACGCTCCCTTTCAGGGTGCCTGATAGTGGTGAGGGTCAGATCGGGCATGATGGAAGTCATGGCCAGGGCAGGAGGTAAAGAGGATGCATGGTCTCCTGGCCTCGGAGAGTTTGCAAAGTGCCCCTCGGATCTGTCACGGGCTGGAGAGCAGAGCACGCGGTCACTGCGCTTGGTGGCTCCTACCTGTGGGGGCTCCTCGCCGCTGGACCAGAGACAGCTTTCTGGGGGGCCTTCTGCTGCTCGCTGATATGGCCAGCCTGGCCTCTGTCTTAGACCGGGCACCGCAGTCCCCAGACCCAGGCCCTGGCCCCTGACTACCCGACACCTAGCATTGCTCTGTGTCAAGTAGCAGAGGCGCCTCTGTTCGTTACTTAAAGAATGGATTTGTTTCTGCTGACTCCAGAAACAGCAGTGCACATGAACCACTGTCATCGAGGACAAGGCCTCCTTCTCCCAGGCTGACCACAGGTGGGCACTGCCAGGAGCTCTGATCACTGTGTTCTCTGCACATGTAGGACGAGCTGAGCAGGCCCAGCTCTTTCCTCACGACTGCGTGCGTGGGGTCGTTCAGCACTCTGAGTCCCCTCCTGAAAGACCCTGGTGGTGCTCTGCCATCACGTCAGTGCCTGTGTGTTTCGTGGAGCACGTGGGCAGCCCTGTGATCCCCGTGGGCCTGGCAGCGGTGCCATCTACTTGTCTGCTTATCTCAGGCCATCTACTTTGTGCTGAGCCCTGAAGTGAGCTCTGGGTCCCAGAAAGGAGCTGGAGGGGGGACCTGTACCCTGGAGGAGTGAACAGCCTGGTGGGGAAGGGGACACGGACACCTACAAGTCAGACACGGGATCATAGGGCCTTCGAGGAGGAGGCCTGGGCTTCCACAAAGACAGCAGCGCCCCATCCTGTTCGTAATCTACCCCCAGGACGCCCCTCCAAGGCTGTGTGGAGGTAGACCTGGAGAGCTGGAAAGAGTCTCCACCCCTCTCCTCGTAGAAGTGGGAACACAGAAAGGAAGGAGCAAGGACGTGACCCCTCCACAGACCCCAGGCCCCGGGATGGCTGTTAGAGGGCCCTGGCTCAGGGGCCCCTCCTGTCCCTCAGGGAAGGGGGTGCTTTGGACTCCCCAAGCTGCAGGGAGTGGTCAGGCCCCATGAGGGTGGCAGAGGAACTGGTGTGGGGAGGAGGAGAGTGTGGGGGCTGTGCCTGGCCCTGGGGGTGCAAGCAGAACCCTCTGGGAGGGATCACAGGGAGACTTTTAGCCCTGAACGGGGAGTTGCCCAGAAGACCTTTGGGGGGCTTTAGTCTTGGCCTCGGCATCTCCTCTGGTCCCAGCCCTGACCCCAGAGATGGAAGGTGTCCAAGGTCAGCATGTGTCCGGCCTGTGGCCTCTGTTGGGCAGGCCATGCACAAAGAGGCCTCATTTATCCACAAAGACACCCTCTGTCGCCGAGACACAGACTCTTCCCTTCCAAGACCAGTGGAAAGGACTCGGGGACGGCTCCTTCGAGCCGGAAAACCCTGTCATTGCAAGGCTGCTCTCAGGCCCAGTGTGCTCAGAGAATTACACCTCAGCACCAAGCTCTTTTCACTAAGGGTCCCTTCCATAATTGGAACTTGAACAAATGGCAGTAAAGTATACAGGAGCTTGCCTACCTAGAACAGGGCTCTCAGAAGAAAGATAAGCTCCCTCAGGTTCAGAAATGGCAGCAAAGCACATTCCCCCATACTCCAAGGCCGGCACGTGGTGGGTTGGCAGTGGGGCCAGGCACGTGGGGGAGGCCCCTCTCTGTGAAGTGAGTCAAGGCAGAAAAGAGGAAATGCCTCTACCTATCCTGTCCGGGGCCAGGGGCCTGGGAGGTGAGGAGGGACATGAGAAGCAGACTGGTGCCGACCCACAGGCGTGAGCCTCCCCTACCCAAGGGAGCAGGAAAGCCCCATGGGGGTCTCCCGAGCCCACAGGGTCACGGGCACGTATTCACTGCTAACCAAGCTCCCTTTAGATGGTCAGTGTGGTGATATCTGGAGCTTGCCCTGGAGTTTGAAAGGGCAGGTGCTGGAGAGCGTGGCTATCGGGAGCCGTGGGCAGATTTGTGGAGGGAGGTGGCATGAAAAATGGCCCTCAAGATCTCTCCACCTGAGGAGGCCACCCTGTCTTCTGCCCATCCTCCACCTGTCTTGCTCCTGGTTCCGCTCATTTTCTTCTCTCTCAGCCGGCCCAGCTGACTCACCACCCGTAAGACCAGGCCCACCGTGGGCCCTGCCCTGGGACTTGGCCTCCATGTGCCCCACCTGGAGACAGAGCCACTGCCCATGGAATGAGGCTCGGGACTCAGTCCAGACATTGGCTGAGCAGGAACAATAGCACCTGGCATCAGTGACCGAGGAAGGTGTAAAGACCCCATCAGACAAGGCAGGGAAGAGGCTTCTGCCCCAGTGATGGTGTGAACCCAGGGCCTGGGCTTATGGAAAAGCTCCTCGAAAAATAATTTAGAGAAAAATAAAACCAGCAACCTCTTTATTAAGTACCTCTACCTGGGACACTGCCACCCCTCGTGGCCAGCAGGGATAGAAGGGTATCCACTGGTTCCCTCTCATCTCCAGAGGCTGCCTGTGCTGAGCCAACCGTGGTCCCTGAGCCAGAAGCTCTGTCCCTTGGGTGGCTTGACAGGGCACTCATGCTGAGCAAATAAATCCACAAGGAAACGCCGAGAGCCTTGTCCTCCCAGCGCGAGGCTTGCTTCCACTTGGTGCTTCACGGTCAGTACGAAAACCTGATGCACAGAGATGTTCCGATTATGTTTCTCTGCTCCCTGCTTCCTTGAGATCAGGCCACTTCGAATGAGGTAATGAGACCACAATTTTCTCCCCAGGAATTGTTCTCAACATCCTCTTTGCTGGTGTCTCCTCATTCATCCCAGCCCTGCTCAGATGCTCCCCCATGAGGTCCCGGGTGCCCGTCAGGGCCCGGCTCAGCCCCGGCATCCTTGTTGACTCAGGTCCCTCAGGATGGACCACTTTCTAGCCAGTAGGGCATGGGTCCCAGCTCTCCCCATGTGGAGTGTAGGGGGCTTGTGGTGGGTTCTACTCCCATGGCAGTGTTAGCCAAGGAGTCTGCGTTTCCACCGGGTCTGGGGGAGCTTGGAGTCATCAAAGGAAGCTTCTGTGAAAATCTTGGAGTTGCTGTTACTTTGTCTGGGGTTCCAAAAACAGCATTACCCCGAAGAAGGGACCTAGACTGAGTCTGAGCTCCATAAATTAGCTGCCCCTGTGTGGGTAAGAACAGATTTGTTGAACTCGATTTTTGCATTACATTTGCATAATACTCTCATTTAAATAATGACAGAAGGTATGGAGATGGGAGGTGGGAGGGACGTGGGCTCTGAGCCTGAGGGCTCCCAGTGGAAGGAGCTCAAGAACAGAGCTGCCCCTCCCACAGTACGACCTCCACTGCCCAGAGATCATACGGCAAATGGTGTTTTCTGGTGGGGTCAGCGGGGCGGGGGAAGAAGCGTGCCGCCTGGCCCAGTCTCTGTTGCCCATTGTCACCGCGTGGAGAGGTGGAGAAGTCCCAGGAAGGCAGAAGGCTTGGACCAGTGTGAGGTCTGAACGGCATCCCCAAAACCCCATATGCTTCCTCCAAGTTGTATTAATCCTATTTTTTTAATTTCTGTATTTTATGATGCTCTGACATCCTGGGGCCTCACTGACCAGAGAAGGAACTGCCTCTCCCAGGGGTAGCTAATTCCTGGGGACTCCCTGGTGAGTGTGCCTTTCATGTGCAAACCGCCCAATCCAAGCCCTTGGCTCCAGCCACCTCCTACATGGGCTCCTGCACTCCCAGGCCAGTATTTCCCTACCCTGAATCACCCAGGGCCAGGAACCAGACAACTAGAGCCCAGAGCCCTCCAAAATTGCTGAAACGCCAGCCCTAGGCCTGCTCAGCTGGTCACCACACCTCCCCAGCTCCTTCCCACGATAAGGGCTCTGGGCCTGCTCACCCCTCACTCCTGCTGCCTCCCGGCTGAGCTGGTGCTTTCCCACATGGCCTTGCCTGGTATGCCATGCCCCCTCCTCTTGGGAACCTTAAGTAATAAACTCTCCTTTCAAGACAGCTGTCTCCATGTTTGTCATCTTATCATACCTAATTAAAATAAACCATCGGTACATCGCAAAACACAAGCCTCTGTCACCCTGGCAGCCGGGAATGAACAGGAGATGCCTTCCAGGTGCCCAAGCACTGGGCTGATAACGCTGATGGGCACAGAACAAGCTGAAGGTGCCACCCCCAGGAAGACTGCAGGAACTCTGAGAGGAGTAGCTTGTTCAGGGCCCCCCTGCCAGGGATTGAAATAATTATCACTAACACCATCTTCCAAAATAGCATCTTGCATCTAGATCAGGGGTGTCCAATCTTGTGGCTTCCCTGAGCCACATTGGAAGAAGAAGTGTCTTTAGCCACACATAAAATACATTAACACTAATGATAGCTGATGATGAGCTAAAAAAATCGTGAAGAAATTCTCATAGTTTTAAGAAATGTGACGATTTTGTGTTGGGTCCCATTCGAAGCTGTGTCTGGCTTCACGCAGCCCGCAGACTGCAGGTTGGAGAAGCTTGGTCTAAGTAGTAGCCCATGTGGGGACAGCTGCTCTATTTGCAGAGTGACTGTTCCACGTCACACATAGTGGGCTGTTTGTACATAAGCTAGCCTGCCTGCACATACGCTGTGCCCTATGCAGAAAGGCTGGCCTATATGCAGATCAGCTCACTTCTGGTTCCCCCAAATGCAAAAATGTTCTAATAAACATGCTACTCAGATTGGCTGATCAGAGGCAACTCACAGATCTGACATCAATTAGTTGCTCTGGACCTGACCTCAGTGTCCATCCTGAGGACAGCTGCTGGCCCAGGACACATACATGCCGATTCTCTCACCGTAGACCCCACCAGCTAAGTGGGACACCACCACAGGGTGTGGTTCATTTTCATGCATGTTAGTGCTGTTCTCTGTCCATCCTTGCAAAGCAGGCAAAGCAGGTGGTCAAGAGGGAAGCAAATGTCAGAACTGTCCTAGTTGTCTGTGAAGTCCCCCAGGCCTCAGCCTGTGGCTCTGAACCCGTTTTCCTGCCATGATGCTGGGCAGCATCCAGGATGTGCATCTGGGCTTCTGCCAAGCTTCCTGCAGGATAGTGTGGGGAAACTCTCCTTCCGCTTCTGAAATGATGCTGCTAAACGCCTCTGCCTACCCAACAGATAAACTGGTACTTGCAATATGCTTGCAGCTTTGGTGTGGGAATGGGGTTGCCTATTATGCATAGTTATATTTAATAAGAAACTAAACTGAAAGCTCACTGCAGTAAACAAGCATTTGGATTCTCATCCTGGCTCTGAAACGACTGGGAAATCGTTGGAGATTGATGCATCCCTAGAGGCATCTCTTGAACCCAGGGTCATCTGGCCTCCATGTGGCTGTGTGTGCACAGACGATTCTTCTCCAAGATGATCCTATGGGTCCTGAAAGACCTTGGCACAGGGGCCTCCAGACTGCGGTAACACCATCCTCCCTTCTGAAACCCAGGCAGAGAGGCTTGGAGAGTGGCACTGGGGAAATACCAGGAATGGCCAGCAAGAGGAAGAGACCCTCTGCCTGCCCAGTCACTGTGTGCCCAGAGAGAAGTGTGGGTGTGTAGGGAGGGACACAGCCCTGCCTCTGCTAAGGGAGAGATCTCCAAGGCTGCTGCCTATGGGGGCTGTGTGGAGGTACAGCCCCCACCTCTGCCCTGGGCCCCCAGCACCCAGCCTGCCATGGTCAGTCACAGCCTTCCCATGCCTTGAGTGTCTGGGGAGGGCCGGGAAGACCAGGAGGCACAGGGATGGAGTCTGGGGCTGATCTTCCTTGGAGATGCCCCAGCTTGTGGCCTCGCATTGGGCCTCTCCACGTGGCCTGTGTGTTGGGCCTGGCTCACCCCAGCCATCCTCACATTGTACAAGAGACCCTTGTCCCCACCGCGTTGCACCGCGTGTGGCACCCTGGGTAGAGGCCCAGCTCTGGAGTCAGACTGGGGAAAAATACGTTGGCTCTGCCAATGCTCACTGTGTGCTCCTGGACAGGTAACTAAACCTGTCTGTGCTTGTTTCCTCCTGTTAAAATGGGGACAATAATCAGATATACTTTAAGGTTTGTGCTTATTTTGAATTACACAAGAAACAGAGCTGGAGTCAAGGATTGTTGGCACTAATCATTTGAGAGACTATCCCAGGGAGAGCTGGGAATGAGTGGTGATGTCATGATCCGGCGCTGCTGAGCCTGAGGAGGTCTGAGAAGGCCCAGCGGAACCCTCTTGGGGGCCAGCACTCACGGCACAGGGAAATTCGGAGACCGGGCCAACCCCTAAGGACTCTGCCTCCAGAGTTTGTTCATTGTTCACTCATTCATTTAGCAGTTACGTGTGTCGCCCGGCGCTGCTCTCATGGATGGACTCTCGGCCTTTAATGTGCTCTCTCACCAAAGGGAGATGAGGGCAGCTGACAAAGGCCCCCTTCTGAGTTCCTGCCAGGGCCTGGATTCCAACGGTGAAACTTTCCTCTGGGATTAACCACATGGTGTTCAGGCATCTCAGAATCGTTCAGTAGGAGGCAACACCTTGGCCATGGAGCCGGGGACACCGACACAGGGAGGGGAGGCCTTGGCCGTGGAGCAGAGTGATTCCTAGTAGAGCCGCATGGGAAGCTGTGGCATATGGGTACTGCCTGTACTCTCTGGCTCACTTGCTTACTCATGTATTGCTTGTTTGCGCAGCACCTGCTCTCTGCCAGACACTCTCCTGGGTACAGGGATGCAATATCCCTCATGAGCTCAGACACATACAGGACAGCCAGACAATACAGCAAAACAGAAGTGAACACTGTTTTAGATGGTGAGGAGTGGCAGGAGGGGAAATCATGCGAGAAAAAGCAGGAGTGCAGATCATGACGGAGGGAAGTGCTGGAACCCAGAGGGGAGGCTTCAGGTGGTCCTGGGCTGAAGCAGGGGCTGGGTCAGGAGGAACAACTGAGGCTGGACGCAGAAGAGAACAGGGTGACCGGGCATAAGGCAGGGGGACACTGTTTGAGTCTTGGATGGAGAGAGTGTGAGTTGGGTGCAAAAATCCTAGAGAAGTAGCTACGGTCTGAGCTGCCAGGCACCAGGAGCGGGAGCTGTGAGCATACTTGTGGCCTCCCACCTGAGGCCACAGGAGGGAGACTCATAGGATGTCCTCCCTTTGCACTTGCTGCTTAAGGTCTCAGGGTGTCAGAGATGAGGACGTGTGTTCATGTGATCCTGCCCCTAGTGGGTCAGCTCATGAAGCAGGGAAGGCTGCCCAAGCTGACGCTAAACTCCCATAACTACCCTTGACCAAGCAGGTCTCTGAAAGGGGACTGTGAGTCCCACTGCAGGAAGGGACAAAGCTTAAAGCACCAATTCGCATTTTATCCTGAAGACCTGAGAGTCTTTCAAACTTATAGAGGTTTTTTTAGTTAAAGAAGAGGAGAAAATGTAAAGAAAAAGGAAAGGATAGGAATAAAATAGACCTTGAAAACCCAATGGAAACAAACCAAATTTGGCTTCTGATAATATAATTTCATAATGCTTCATTGAAATATCATGTACTTACAGAAAAGTGCTCAGTAGATTTTGAAAAACCAAGCTCACCCTGTGGCCATTACCTGGACACTGGAGCAGGGTGTGAGCTGCCCGCAGTGCCTCTGTGGTCCCTCCAGCGTGGCCTCCTCCAGGGAAAACACTGTCCTTACCCCAGCAGCACAGACTAGTTTCTTCGTGGAATTTCTTTTTCCCAAGGACCACAAAGGAAGCAGGGAGGCAGGGAATGGGGGGCAGTTTCCCTTCTTAAAATAATGTGACTGGAGGGAAAGTGGATACAGGCGGGAACCCTCAGCAAGCTCCAAGGAGCCCCACCGCCATTCAGTATCCGTCACGGAGCAGCCACAGTGAGGCCAAAGTTGCAGCTCACATTAAGAACAATTAACAGTTTTACACCACTTTTCCACATTCTTTTTAAAAAATTACGTTCTTGCATTATTTTCCCCATATGGATTTTTAAACATGAGAGTGCCTAAGTCGATTGGACGGAAGTTCAATCTGGTCTTGATTACCTCTGACTTCGTGAGTTAATGAGCGCTAAGTAACTCACCTTTCCTTTAATCTGGAAGCAGTGGCCCTGCCTGTGGGGTGGGGGACACAGGCTGAGAGTGGACCACAGGCTCCGAATCACCTATTCTGGTGCATGTGTCCTACTCTCAGGCCACAGATCCACAGGGTCAGACTGAGCTGCGGGGAGTGTGGCCCCACCCTGTTTCCCTTAAAGCAGGTTACAGAGGATTGACCTAGTGGGGTCACAGAGAGCACCGTGAGCCTGAGACCCAGGCTCTGGTCCTACCTTATCACGAACTCACTGTGGGCCTCAGCCTGGCCAGACCTCTCTCAGGGTCTCTGTTTCTGCATCTGTATAATGAGGCCCCATCTGTAGTGTTAGATGGAAACTGAGTAAGGACTAGAGGGGTTGGGGGTGATTCACCAACTCTTTACCCCTCAACAGAGCAGAAGGACAGCTTCCAGAGTGTGCTTCCAGAGGGCCCTGGGCGTGTTGAGTCCTAAGAGGAAGGAACCCCCATCATCATGGTACATGCTGTGTAACCCCACAGCCTGGCTCACTGTGTCCACTGGAACCCACGTCCTTGGGGTCAGAAACCTGGAAACAGCCACTCTGTTCACAGAGAAGCAACCTTTCAGTGTTTTCCTTTCCCCTTACCACAGGGATGGCCGTGTTAGAATTACACTCCTCTACACCAGCCAGGTGAGTTACTGCAGGCTTATGACTTCATAGGTCACCTGGCATGCATTTGTAACAAAATCTTTGATGTGATAAAGCAACAGACTCCATTGCAAAAAACATTAGCAATCTCTCCTCACTAAGTCACAACTTTGATAAAGTGTTTTCTATTCAAAAAACTTAGTGCAATTATGGTGCAGAGCTGAGATCTCAGCACAATTTCATTTACAATCAACCTGGCATCTCCAATGCACTAATTGAAGCATTATCACTATTGTCTTCCGTATGAAATATGCGCAAAGTATATTTCTTTCCCTTTATCCCCCCAGTAAATAGCATATTCTGGACATGTAGCATTTCAATGAATGTGGCAGTAGGCCACGGGGACCACTGACCCTCACACCTGAGAGGACACTGAGGCCCTTGGAGGTGGAGAGACTGCCCAATGCACACAGCTCATGTCAGTGCCTCTGTGATGGCTTTCCCCCCAGGTGACTGTCACCCCAACATTTTACTGACACACACAGAGTTCCTGGCTCTGTCCTCCCACCAGCAAACTTTGTGCATAGCCAGAGTCTCCTCCCGCCTGCTGCACTTGGGGTTTATAGAGAGCACTTAGGCCTGCAGGAGCTAAGATTGCACAACTGCACTCCAGGCTGGGGAACAGAGTGAAACTTCATTAAAAAAAAAATCCACAGCTAAGTTGATGCAAAAGCAGCATCTAAATCATAGACTAGAAAAAGCAGCCACCACATGTGACAGTGAAGCTTCAGAAACTGCCTTTGGGAGGTAGGAGCAAGGCAAAGATATGCCCTTTCTATGTACCCTTTCTATGCAACCTCGGGTAGAGTTACCGGCTTGTGCAATAATGCAAGAAAATGAACTAAATGTGGAACAATGGGTCAGGAATAAAAGGAAACCATCATTCTTTATTGACCCTATAAAAATCTACATTTTAAAAGGTCATAACAAATAAGAGAGTTCAACTGGACACAAGACTAGTAAACAAAACTATCAGCAGTACCCAATTCATAATTATAAAAAGCAATTTCATTTGACATCAACAAAAGTTATCAGTTACCTAGGAATACATCAACTAAGACAAGGGTAATAACTTTATGAAAAAATAAAGATATCAGTGAAGAATATTTTTAAAGATGTCTATAAATGGGGAGGTGTGGTGAGACCTGCATGGTAAAGCGATGAAGTCTCCCCAAGTGAGGTGATGAATTTGATGCAGTTCCCACCAAGCACACACCCATGGGGACACGTTCACCTGCATCTGTTTACGTGTTTTTTAAAACTTGACTGGCTGACTCCAAAAACAATACAGGACAATAATAACCAAGATACTTTTAAAGGAGAAAAAGTAAGTCGAGGATACATTACACCAGATATAAGCACACCATATAAATCCATTGCAATTACAGCCACATGATATCTTGGTAGAAGAGAAAAATAGACCAAAGGAAAAGAGTACAGAGCACCAAAGAAGACCCTCTTCTGTGTTGAAACTTAGTCTATTAGAAAACAAATAAAGTGCCCAATCGTTTGGGCAATTGGCTCTTCATTTTGAAAAAAGATACCTTTAGATCTATACCTCAAGACATACACAAAGGTTATTTTCAGGTGGACTGAGAAACTTTATAAATATAGCAAGACTCTTTAGATGAAAATATAAGAAAATATATTTTGAATACATTTTGTGGATTTCGCAAAATACATAGAAAAATCACATGATCAAAAGATTAATAAAATTGACTAAAATTTAATAATAAATATATCTATAATAATTTTTTAAAAAATAATAATAAAATCTAAACTTTCCCTTCCACAAATGATATGGAGACTAGGATAAGGTATTTGTAAAACATCTTGTGAACTAAAGATTTCTATTGAGAGTACTTAAAGGTTTTTAAGTGGTGCTGGCTCCCCTCTTAGGGGACTCTTAGTTCAAACAGGTTTCCTCTCATGGCTGAAGTGTTGAGTGCCTTTTCCACTCCCGTTCTCTCACAAGTGTGCAGAGGCAACTGACGTGTGATGTCACTGCAGACTGAATACAGAATTCCACATGGGAAACTTGTTTCCCAGGAGCCAGGCAGCAGGAGCATTCACACATCTAAACAATGCTACTCCTGTCACCAGTTTCTAAAGAAAATATAGTTATTTTCGTAACATGTTATGTTATGAACATAACATAATCCTTGATGTTCATTAGCATAATGGATTCATTATGAGTTTTCACTAATTGGTTACTTAATGTGATGGTTACTATTGTCAACTTGATTGGATTGAAAGATGCAGAGTATTGTTCCTGGGTGCGTCCGTGAGAGTGTTGCCAAGGGAGATTCACATTTGAGTCAGTGGACCTGGGAGAGGCAGACCCACCCTCAATCTGGGTGGGCATCATCTCATCAGTTGCCAGTGTGGCTGGGATAAAAGCAGGCAGAGAAATGCGGAAGGACGAGACTGGCTGAGTCTTCCGGCCTTCATCTTTCTCCCACGCTGGATGCCTCCTGCCCTTGAATACCGGACTCCAAGTTCTTCAGTTTTGGACTCTTGGATTTACACCAGTGGTTTGCCAGGGGCTCTCGGGCCTTTGGCCCCAGACTGAAGGCTGCACTGTCGGCTTCCCTACTTTTGAGGTTTTGGGACTCAGACTGGCTTCCTTGTTCCTCGGCTTGCAGCCTACTGTGGGACTTCACCCTGTGATCGTGTGAGTCAATACTACTTAATAAACTCCCTTTCATATACACTTCTATCCTATTAGTCCTGTCCCTCTAGAGACTAATACTCTTAAGATTTTAAATTGTTCTCCATTTTCATCTTTAACATGGTAAATGTTAATAGATAAACCATACTTATTAGGGTTCTCAATTACTTCTTATTATTTTTTTAATTGACACAATATGGCACATATTCGTGGGGTTCACAGGGATGCTGCAGTACATAGAATGAATCAAGGATTAGATCAGGGTGGCGAACACATCCATCGTCTCAAACACGATAATTTCTCCTCCTAGCTATCTGAAACTATGAATTATAGTTAACTATAGTCACCCTACAGTGCCAAAGAACCATAGGACTTATTTTTCCCATCCAGCTGTAATTCCATATCCTTTAAAAAATCTCTCCCTATCCGTCCCCTCTCCCTCCCCTTCCCAGCCTCTAATATCCTCTGTTCTACTTTTTACTTCTATGAGAGCAACATTTTTTAAAGTTTCCACATGTCAGTGAGAACATTCAGTATTTAACTTTCTGTTCCTGGCTTATTTCACTTACCATAATGTCCTCCAGTTCCATCCGTTTTGCCATGAATGACAGGACTTCATTTTTTTTTACAGATGACTAGTATTCCACTGTGTGTATATACCACGTTTTTTATCCAGTCATCTGCTGTTGGACACCTAGGTTGATTCCACGTCTTGACTATTGTCAATAAACATGGGGTTGCAGATATTGGTTTGATATACCGATTCCTTTCCTTTGGATAAATGTCCAGGAGTGGGATTGCTGGATCTTATGGTAGTTCTGATGTGGGGCAGGTGAGCCCCAAGGTGGAGTTTAGTCTGCAAGGGTTCTTGCCTTTGCCCAGGAAAGAATTCAAGGGCAAGCCAAAGGAAGAAGAAAACAGCTTTATTTATTTAGAGACGGAATCTTGCTCTGTCACCCAGGCTGGAGTGCAGTGGAGCGATCTCGGCTCATTATAACCTCCGCCTCCTGGGTTGAAGAGATTCTCCTGCCTCAGCCTCCCAAGTAGCTGGGATTACAGGCACGCACCACGACGCCCACCTAATTTTTGTATTTTTAGTAGAGACGGGGTTTCAACATTTTGGCCAGGCTGGTTTTGAATTTCCCACCTCGTGATCCGCCCACCTCAGCCTCCCAAAGTGCTGGGATGACAGGCGTGAGCCACTGTGCCCGGCCAAAAACAGCTTTATTAATAAAGAAGAAATGTTACAGCTCTGAGACGGTTCCTGCAGAGCAGGGCTACCCTCTCTGCCCTGTAAGAAGAGAAGAGCAGCTCGGGGCAGTTTTGCAGTCATGTTTAATCCACTTTTAATTTCACGCGGATTAAAGACGGTTTATGCAGAAATTTCTAAGGAAGGCATAGTAACTTTTGGGTCATTGAGTCATTGCCATGGAAAGGAGCGGTAACTCCCGGTGTCGTCATGGCAACGATAAACTTCCATGGCACTGGTGGGTGTGTCTGATTGAAAGCTGCTTCCGCCCCAGCCCTGTTTTAGCTAGTCCTCAATCTGGTCCGGTGTTCGAGCCCCACCTCTGGAGTTGAGTCCCACCTCCTACCTCAGTTCTGTTTGTAGTTCTGTGAGGAACCTCCACACTGCTTTCCACAGTAGCTGTACTGGTTTACATTCCCACCAACAGTGTCAAGAGTTCCCTTGGTTATTTTTTGTCTTTTTGATGAACGCCATCACAACTGGGGTGAGATGATATTTCTTTTTTTTTTTTTAATTTTTTTTTTAATTATTATACTTTAAGTTTTAGGGTACATGTGCACATTGTGCAGGTTTGTTACATACGTATACATGTGCCATGCTGGTGTGCTGCACCCATTAACTCGTCATTTAGCATTAGGTATGTCTCCCAGTGCTATCCTTCCCCCCTCCCCCCACCCCACAACAGTCCCCAGGGTGTGATGTTCCCCTTCCTGTTTCTATGTGTTTTCATTGTTCAATTCCCACCTATGAGTGAGAACATGAGGTGTTTGGTTTTTTGTTCTTGCGATAGTTTACTGAGAATGATGATTTCCAATTTCATCCATGTCCCTACAAAGGACATGAACTCATCATTTTTTATGGCTGCATAGTATTCCATGGTGTATATGTGCCACATTTTCTTAATCCAGTCTATCATTGTTGGACATTTGGGTTGGTTCCAAGTCTTTGCTATTGTGAATAGTGCTGCAGTAAACATACGTGTGCATGTGTCTTTATAGCAGCATGATTTATAGTCCTTTGGGTATATACCCAGTAATGGGATGGCTGGGTCAAATGGTATTTCTAGTTCTAGATCCCTGAGGAATCGCCACACTGACTTCCACAATGGTTGAACTAGTTTACAGTCCCACCAACAGTGTAAAAGTGTTCCTATTTCTCCACATCCTCTCCAGCACCTGTTGTTTCCTGACTTTTTAATGATCGCCATTCTAACTGGTGTGAGATGGTATCTCATTGTGGTTTTGATTTGCATTTCTCTGATGGCCAGTGATGGTGAGCATTTTTTCATGTGTTTTTTGGCTGCATAAATGTCTTCTTTTGAGAAGTGTCTGTTCATATCCTTTGCCCACTTTTTGATGCGGTTGTTTGTTTTTTTCTTGTAAATTTGTTTGAGTTCATTGTAGATTCTGGATATTAGCCCTTTGACAGATGAGTAGGTTGCAAAAATTTTCTCCCATGTTGTAGGTTGCCTGTTCACTCTGATGGTAGTTTCTTTTGCTGTGCAGAAGCTCTTTAGTTTAATTAGATCCCATTGGTCAATTTTGGCTTTTGTTGCCATTGCTTTTGGGGTTTTAGACATGAAGTCCTTGCCCATGCCTATGTCCTGAACGGTAATGCCTAGGTTTTCTTCTAGGGTTTTTATGGTTTTAGGTCTAACGTTTAAGTCTTTAATCCATCTTGAATTGATTTTTGTATAAGGTGTAAGGAAGGGATCCAGTTTCAGCTTTCTACATATGGCTAGCCAGTTTTCCCAGCACCATTTGTTAAACAGGGAATCCTTTCCCCATTGCTTGTTTTTCTCAGGTTTGTCAAAGATCAGATAGTTGTAGATATGCAGCGTTATTTCTGAGGGCTCTGTTCTGTTCCATTGATCTATATCTCTGTTTTGGTACCAGTACCATGCTGTTTTGGTTACTGTAGCCTTGTAGTATAGTTTGAAGTCAGGTAGTGTGATGCCTCCAGCTTTGTTCTTTTGGCTTAGGATTGACGTGGCGATGCAGGCTCTTTTTTGGTTCCATATGAACTTTAAAGTAGTTTTTTCCAATTGTGTGAAGAAAGTCATTGGTAGCTTGATGGGGATGGCATTGAATCTATAAATTACCTTGGGCAGTATGGCCATTTTCATGATATTGATTCTTCCTACCCATGAGCATGGAATGTTCTTCCATTTGTTTGTATCCTCTTTTATTTCCTTGAGCAGTGGTTTGTAGTTCTCCTTGAAGAGGTCCTTCACATCCCTTGTAAGTTGGATTCCTAGGTATTTTATTCTCTTTGAAGCAATTGTGAATGGGAGTTCACTCATGATTTGGCTCTCTGTTTGTCTGTTGTTGGTGTATAGGAATGCTTGTGATTTTTGCACATTGATTTTGTATCCTGAGACTTTGCTGAAGTTGCTTATCAGCTTAAGGAGATTTTGAGCTGAGACAATGGGGTTTTCTAGATATACAATCATGTCATCTGCAAACAGGGACAATTTGACTTCCTCTTTTCCTAATTGAATACCCTTTATTTCCTTCTCCTGCCTAATTGCCCTGGCCAGAACTTCCAACACTATGTTGAATAGGAGTGGTGAGAGAGGGCATCCCTGTCTTGTGCCAGTTTTCAAAGGGAATGCTTCCAGTTTTTGCCCATTCAGTATGATATTGGCTGTGGGTTTGTCATAGATAGCTCTTATTATTTTGAAATACGTCCCATCAATACCTAATTTATTGAGAGTTTTTAGCATGAAGGGTTGTTGAATTTTGTCAAAGGCCTTTTCTGCATCTATTGAGATAATCATGTGGTTTTTGTCTTTGGCTCTGTTTATATGCTGGATTACATTTATTGATTTGCGTATATTGAACCAGCCTTGCATCCCAGGGATGAAGCCCACTTGATCATGGTGGATAAGCTTTTTGATGTGCTGCTGGATTCGTTTTGCCAGTATTTTATTGAGGATTTTTGCATCAATGTTCATCAAGGATATTGGTCTAAAATTCTCTTTTTTGGTTGTGTCTCTGCCCGGCTTTGGTATCAGAATGATGCTGGCCTCATATAATGAGTTAGGGAGGATTCCCTCTTTTTCTATTGATTGGAATAGTTTCAGAAGAGATGATATTTCAGCATTGTGGTTTTGACCCTGAGAAGAAACAGTTTGAGCATCTGTGGTGCTGGGAAGTTCTTGAATGCCACCCTCAGGAGTTCTAGGGTCACCCTTCTGAGGACGACAGGAGTGGAGGAAGGGCTTCCAGCAAGAGGCAGACCTTACCAATGAGTAGAACCTGGCAGCAAGAGAAGAACTAGATGTGGGGGCAGGAGGGTCAGATGGGAGAGGACCCGCTCATGGCAGGTGCCCTACCTGCAGACGCTGCAGTCCTCCCCACACTCCAGGCCCACCGCACCACAGGGCACAGCCTGGCAGCCTTCTCTCAGCCACGGTCCCACTCAGCACCTCTTGTACATGTGGAAGGGGCTCCATGCTCTGCAGAGGAGCAGAGGAAGTGGGGATGTAGGGAAAATAGAGAGCGGTGGAAAACTGGGTGGGCCACAAATGGCCAGGATCTTCCCTCCGCCATCGTGTGTGGGCTGGGTGGTCACAGTGTCCTCAGAGCCTTGACATCTGCACCTGTGAGATGACACTTGCCTGCCCACCTCTGAGCATCCCAGTTGTGCCCACAGCCCCGGGTGAGGGCAGGGCCGAGACGTGTGCCCAGATTGCTGTATTGATGTTGAATAGACCTGCTGGAAAGGGTTCCAGACGCTATCACACATGGAGTGGGACAGGATGAGCATTCCAACCTTTCATTGAAAGTTCTGTTTATATGTAGCTGCCAAACACCTTGGTGAGTGGACTATTCTTCCAAGATGGAAATGAACTTGTCCTACCCAAAATGGGGCAGTGCTGTGGTTCAGCAGGAGACACACCCCCAACCCAAAGCAGGTGTGTGAGGAGGGGGTGGCAAAGGGGATGCATGCCCCTATCACAATGGGTTTTCGTTCACAGCAGGACTCCCTGGAGGTCCTCAACCAGGTGGCACCTGAGTCGGGGCCTGGGGACTGGCTAGAGTCAGCTGACAGCAGCTGGAGCACACGTCAGAAAAACACAACCCACTGGCCTAGAGCTCCCGTCCCTGCCCTGTCTCTAACCTGGCCTTTGATGCCTTTTATTTTTCTTTCCTCAAATGCACATTATTAACTGCAGATGCCCAGCTGAGAAGATGAGAGAAAGTTAATGAAATTACACGAGTGCTTTGCTGAGTTCTCTTTCAAACTACAGCTTGTTAAGTTAAAACAGCAGTGTGAAGGGTGTAGCTCTCTGTGAAGTTTCTGGATGTGGCCCTGGCCTCAGGGAGGCTTGTGGGGTGGTCAAGGAAGCCTGGCAGAAGGTAGTTCATGGCAGAGACACCAGCCACATGTGGGCCTTCCTGTGTGGGCCTTGCCTGTGTGGGCCTGTCTTTCCCTTGCTGGTCTCCTGTCTCAAGTTCTCCCATCCCTGCTTCTCACGTCTGTGGGCCTGACCACTCACTGCCTTGATACACCCAGCTCCTTGCCCTCCAGCCTGGGCTCAGGTGCACTGCCCCGCAGGACTACAGGGTCATTTCCATGACTCAGTTCCTGGTTTGCCTGTCACCCCCCACCTCCCCTTCTGCAATTGCCTGTCCTCCCACCTGGTTTTATTTTCTTCATTTCCAGTTTTTATTTCTCATGCTTTTTGTTTCTTTTCCCTGTAGGAGTGTGAGCCCTGCGAGGAAGGAAACCCCAGCTCGTTAGGCATTCGTTAGTGTGAGCAAGTTGCTGCCATCAGTCAGATGGGTAACGTGGTGCCTGCCTTTGGGGCTGTGAAGGGGATTGAATGAGCACAGCTGTGTGTTTGAGAGTGCCTAGATGTGAAGTGTGTTAGCCTTAGAGCATTGCACGTGGTAAGCACTATTGTGAGTGCCTAGATGTGAAGTGTGTTAGTCTTAGAGCATCGCACATGGTAAGCCCTATTATCATGACCATTGTCAGCATTCACTGCTGTGTACCCAGCACCTTGCACGGGGCGTGGCACGTGGGAACCCCCAGTTGACAGAGTCCAGTGAAAGGAAGAATGAGTGAGTGAGCGGGTGAGTGGGTGAGGGATGGTGCCCTGCACAGGGGACCTCCCCCAGCACGATGCAACCTGTGCTCTCAGGCCCAGCCTCTGTCATTTAGTCGCTTTTTGTTTCAAGTTCCCAGAGTGAGTAGTAAATACTTCAACCAGTCAGAGTTCTCAAAAAAAGCTCAGTGAACATGTGTAATGATTCATTCAGCATTTGCTCAGTGCCTACATAAAGTAGGCTGAGGCTAGAAATGGCAACTAGCACATACACCATGCCCTGGGGATCGAAATATAACAGAGGAGAAAGCCATGTAAAATGAATTTTCAAAGGCATTTGAGACCTAAGATCTCGGGGAAATGACTGTGGGACGGTGGGATTACTGGCGTTCCTTCCAGATGCTACAGATGATGCCCCGTGGCAGCTCTTCCCACAGAGGGTGACTTTTATGAAGTCCTCAGGGGCTGCACCTCAGCATTTGGCAGCCCAGCTTGAACCCGAGCCCCTTTACTTCACAGCTCTGAACCTCACTTCTTCAACTGTGAAATGGGAACAGGAATGGCAAAGCCTGCCTTGGAGGCTGCCTGAGTACCGAGGGACCCAATCAACGCGTGCAGTGTGCGTGGCAGCGCGGGAAGCTGCATACTGTTCACATCTCCTCCTCTTCTCCAACAGTCCTGGGTGCAGTGTGTGCGGGAAGCTGCATACTATTCACGTTTCCTCCTCTTCTCCAAAAGTCCTTATGTCGTCCATGGCATGGGCGGGAAGCTGCATACTGTTCACATTTCCTCCTCTTCTCCAACAGTCCTGGGTGCAGTGTGTGCGGGAAGCTGCATACTGTTCACATCTCCTCCTCTTCTCCAACAGTCCTGGGTGCAGTGTGTGCGGGAAGCTGCATACTATTCACATTTCCTCCTCTTCTCCAACAGTCCTTGTGTTGTCCATGGCATGGGCGGGAAGCTGCACACTGTTCACGTCTCCTCTTCTCCAACAGTCCTTATGTCGTCCATGGCATGGGCGGGCCAGCACTGGGCCTCAGTGCTTCTGATTGTGCCATTTCAACTTCAGTGAGACGCATTTTTTTCCCACTGGCAGCTCAGGTAAGTCCCTTACCTCCCCAAAACAGCACCCTGTGAAATCACCTTCTTGCAGCCGGGTCAGACAGTTCGCCTTGTAGGTTTAATGAACGGTCTCCTGCATTTATCTCAGCTACTGCAGCCCAGTGTCTGGGGAAAGGCTGAGGGTGGTCTGAGGGCTGTGCTGGGCACTTTTTCAGGCTGCCAAAGCCTGTTCTTGGGAGGCAGCTGACCTCATCAAAAGGAGTTCAAGCAAGGGGCTGAGGGGCCGCATCTCCCGAGCACGGCAGACCTGGGGAATCAGTTTGGCCTTCCTTGTTCAGGTTGGGG